>NC_000006.12:10363030-10514545 GCF_000001405.40 Homo sapiens | reverse complement strand
TCTTTCAGGCAGTGCAGGTCAGCCTGGAGCCTGGAGATCCCTGTGTAGAACAGAGACTCCCTCTCAGAAGCCACAGAGACGTTTGTGAAGCAGCTCAGTAGCTTTCTTACAGCGTCTTTGAAAGTGACTGGGGCCTTCTGATCCACATGAACACAGTAGATGTTTTGGGGAGTGTAGATGGCCCTCAAGAGTCTTTCAAATGTATCAGTCTTTGCGGATGACCATGACATAGGCCAAAGGGAACTCGGCTTCGTCTTTGGACACAGGTTCCATTATGCAGTGATTTCGGATCAAGTATCGCTGGCAGGTTATTATTTCTCAATGGCGTCACTGGTATATTTTCATCCAAGAACATTTTCTTGCCTGTCACAATCATGCCACACACTTCTGCAAGGACTGAAGAGTTTGAGATCTTCCCCCATGGAAGATATTTTTGCGGGACCTAATAGTTACTATACAGGAATAAAAGAGTTATGGACGTGGCCATAAGCCCTAGGACCAACCCAAATGCCTCTACCTTTATTTTTCCTATGGTCTTTTCTGGATTCATCATTCACCTGATTTTATGCCATTGCTGAAGTCAGTCTGCAGGTCCCTGCCCAGACTTGAGAAATGTGCTCTAGCAACTTATTTGCAGCAAGAAGTGCAATATGACCATTTACTTAAAAGAAGGAGGATCAACCACAAGTCGGTAGCTCTTCTATTTAAAAAATCAGGTGACTCTTTGAACATGAGCCAGTGGGGCCAGCTGACCACTTCACAAAAGCCAGGCACAGTTGGGCACCTCTGTCTAGGTCAACCACAAATTAAGACCCTAGCAAATCGGCCACAGCTGCCAGCTCAGGGTGTTTTTCCCATGTGGAGTACAGGTGGAATGTGTGTTCATTTGGCACCTCTTTTTCCCATGCAGAGCCACCATCACCATCACTGATGTCACCTTTGAATGCAAGGGACACTATATTTCTTCAACTTCAGGCAATCACAGTTGTCCTGAAGTAGGTCACCATTTACGTGGACAGCACCCAGAACTCCTCGATAGTGGGGTCTCTTTACTTAAAAATAAAGATCAAGAATTTATAGTATTTCAGGATTGAAAGGAATCTTGCAGATTATTCTCACCAATTGATTCAGTTACAAATAAAGAACACTGACAATGACCCATAACGACTATTCTATCACATTTTGTCTCCATTTTCTCACTGATGGCCTGAGAGGTAAGCATTGACATTATATCCACTTTGCACATGAAGAAATTACGCCCAAAGATATGCTAGCTTGCCTGATATCCAGTAATGAGTTAATGGCAGCCTGGGGTTTTCAAACCTAACTCTTCTTCTTCTTATCTTAGAGTTGGGGTCTGGGTCTGTGCCCAGGCTGGAGTGCAATCACTGCCACATCAACTTCCTGGACTCAACCCATCCTCCTGCCTCAGTCTCCTGAGTAGCTGGGACTACAGGTGCCAGCCACATTGCTTGCCTAATTAAACATAAGATTTTGTTTCTTTTTTTTTGAGACAGAGTTTCACTCTTGTTGCTCAGGCTGAAGTGCAATGGTGCGATCTCAGCTCACTGCAACCTCTGCTTCCCAGGTTCAAGCAATTCTCCTGCCTCAGCCTCCCAAGTAGCTGGGATTACATGCACCCACCACCACGCCCAGATAATTTTTGTATTTTTAGTAGAGAAGTGGTTTCACCATGTTGGCCAGGCTGGTCTTGAACTCCTGACCTCAGGTGATCCACCCGCCTAGGCCTCCCAAAGTGCTGGGATTACAGGAGTGAGCCACCTCACCCAGCCTTAAAAAAATTTTTTTTGGGGCCGGGCGAGGTGGCTCATGCCTGTAATCCCAGCACTTTGGGAGGCCGAGGCAGGCAGATCACCTGAGATTGGGAGTTCGATACCAGCCTGACCAACATGGAGAAACACCATCTCTACCAAAAATACAAAATTAGCTGGGCATGATGGCACATGCCTGTAATCCCAGCTACTAGGGAGGCTGAGGCAGGAGAATCGCTTGAACTCGGGAGGTGGAAGTTGCAGTGAGCCAAGATCACACCATTGCACTCCAGCCTGGGCAACAAGAGTGAAACTCCGTCTCAAAAAAAATAAAATAAAATAAAAAAATAAAAATCGTTTTTTTGTAGAGACGGGGTATCACTATGTTGCCCAGGCTGGTCTTGAACCCCTGGGCTCAAGGGACCCTCCTTCCTTGACCCCCCAAAGGGATTATAGGCATGAGCCACTGTGCCTAGCCTCAAGCTTATCTCTTCTCACTGCATAGGCCATCTACCTGGAATATTCTCTCCCCCTGCCTTGTCTTGAGTTCCTACTCATCTTTCAGGTCCCTATGTGACACTGCTTCCCTGGTGACCCTTCCTTGCTCTTCCAAGTCTGGGTTAGAAGCCCTTCACCTGCCCTAATAAAACCTTGTACTCCTACAATTGCTTGTTTGTTTGCTCTACCACTAGTCCATGGAGGACTATTTATTTTTAAAACAAAAAGTTAATATTTTATTTTTAAATGTATGATTTACAGGTGGTAATTATACGTATTTATGGGATGCAGCATGATGTTCCAATACATGTATACATTGTGTAATGATCAAATCATGGTAATTAGCATATCCATCACCTTAGACATTTATTGTTTGTTATCAGAACATTCAAAAACTGCTCTTCCAGGTATTTTGAAATATACAATGCATTATTATTAACTGTAATCCTCCTCCTATGCAGTAGAACTCCAGAGCTTATTCTTCCTCTCTATCTATAGCTTGGCACCTGTTGATCCATCTCTCATCACCCCCCTGCTCCTTTCCCTTCCCATTCTCTGGTAACCACTGTTCTATTCTCTACTTCTATGTGGATTCCACATGAGTGAGATCATGCAATATTTGTCTCTCTGTGCCTGGCTTATTTCACTCAACATAATGTCCCATGGAGAACTATTTCGGTCTGCTGGTCACTGCACTTTCAACACCTTGCTTATGGTAGGCACTCACCGAATTAAGTTTAGCCACCCTTCTTTCCTCTATACCAGAGATCAGCAAAACCACAGCTGGGGGGGTCCAGTCTGGCTCGCTGCATGTTTTTAGACAATCTCTCAGCTAGAATGGTTTTATATTTTAAAATGGTTGGGAGAAAATCCAAAGAAGAAAAATGTTTTGTGACACATGAAAATTATATGAAATTCAAATTTCGGTGTCCATAAATACAATTTTATTGGAACACAGCCGTCCTCATTTGTTTACACAGGGCCTATGGCTGCTTTCACGTTACAATGGCAGGGCTAAGTTGTTGCCACATCTGACCACCGAAGCTTAAAATGTTTTCCATCTGGCCTTTACCAGAGAAGGTTTGCTGACCCTCTCCTCTGTATCTACGGATGTCCCTTGTATACCACTGTGCTTGCACTACATCAAGACAGCGATTGTGGACTTGATACCATTTTACAACTTTTTGCTTTATTTTCAAGATTTCCTCGTGAATGCCAGAATGACACGATATTTGGTAGCAAAGCATGAGCTTCAAAGAGAGGTTTGCGTGGGTCTAGATCCTGGCTTTGCTAGTTCCTAGTTGTGTGACGTTGGGCAAATCACTTTTCCTATCTGTCTTAATTTCTTTGTCAGTAAAATAAAGATAATACCAGTAGGGCTGTTTTGTGAGTTGATGTGTTAATAAGTAGAATGCACTCTGAGCAGTATTCACGCATAGTGAACACTCTGAAATGCTAGCTATTCTCACTGCACACGATCGCTTCTAGGGGCTACCTGTACCGCCAGTGAACTGGAAACTCACCCCACTGCACTTTGCCTGACACCGAGTGGCCCAAGCTTTGGCGAGAGGCAGTGCTGCCACACAGTGGCTCTATATGGGGTGGCTTGGCACACTCTTCCTTTTTTTTTTTTAGGTGATTGCAAATCTATGGATGAGACCAAGGGAGAATTTTCACGCCATCATAGCATTTTATTCCTCACCTGACTGGGAGCAGCTCGAAGGGAAGGACATGTCTCCAAAGACATGAGGAGTATTCAACGTGGCATTCGAGGCGCAAGGAAAAACCTGCCTATCCCAAGATCTCAGCCCCATCAGCCAGCCAAGGGATCCACAATGACCCTTATGAAGTTTCATAAGGAAGCTAATTGCTTAAATGAGATTTGAGTCAAGAAGGATGACCTAGCAATAACCTCTATATATCTCATTATGCCGTAAGTAACCAATAGAGGTTCTAGAAAATGCCATCCAATAGAGGTTCTGGAAAAATGGGACAAGAGACAGGTTAGATTAGATGGAAGAAAAGGCCTTCCATCTAAGCAAGGCCTGGCATGTGGAATGCTAGTGGGGGCCCTCTGGACTGTGCTGGCAGGGCAGGTAAAGCAGCCAGGAGAGAATGTGAAAGTGGAAAGATGCCCCGGGGTGACGTGCCATCACTTAGATTTTATTTATTTATTTAGAGACGAAGTCTCCCTCTGTCACCCAGGCTGGAGTGCAGTGGCGCGATCTTGGCTCACTGCAACTTCTGCCTCCCAGGCTCAAGCGATTTTCTTGCCTCAGCCTCCCAAGTAGCTGGGACTACAGGTGTGTGCCACCATGCATAGCTAATTTTTGCACTTTTAGTAGAGACAGGGTTTCACCATGTTGGCCAGGCTGGTCTCGAACTTCTGACCTCAGGAGATCTGCCCAACTCAGCCTCCCAAAATGATGGGATTACAGGCGTGAGCCACTGCACCCAACCAGGTTATTTTCAGAATTAGAGATGAATCTTAAAAATCAAAATTTCCCCAGTGTCCCAGACACATTCAAAGCAAAATTACATAGAGGTTCGGCATCCCTAGTCTGAAAATCTGAGATCTGAAATGCTCCAAAATCCAAAACTTTTTGAGAGTTAATGTGGCACCATCAGTGGAAAATTCCACACCTGACTTCATGTGATGGGTCTCAGTCGAACAGCAGCCAAAACTTTGCTTCTTGGACACAATTATTTAAAATAGTGTATAAAATTATCTCCAGGCTATGTGCATAAGGTGTATATGAAATATAAATGAATTTCATGTTCAGACTTGGGTCCCATCCCCAAGACATCTCATTATGTATATGCAAATTTTCCAACCTAGAAAAAACTTGAAATTCAGAACACTTCTGGTCCCAAGCGTTTTGGATATGGGATACTCAACCTGTAGTTTCATTTTAATTATTTTGATGTAACTTAACTGAGCATCAAATTTTAAATTTTTTTTTTTTAATTAGAAAACTTAAATGGCTACATAAGAGGACAGTCCAGTGACAGACATGGAAAGAGGCTTAGAGGTCATCTCATTCATCACACCATTTTACAGAGGAAAGCAAAATGCCATCCAGAGAAGGAAAGTCACAAAGCCATCTAACCCCAGACCTGGGAGTAGCAGCTGATCACAGCGGGTCGGACACAAGAAGCTGCTTCCAAAAATCTTTCCTTCCATTTGTCCTACAGAGAAGACATCAGAAAACAAAATTTTATAAGCATGTCTCTAGCTCTAACTCACTATTCAACTAAAGGACAAATTAAATAGGGAATGAGATAACCTTAACTTCATGAGATTTGTTCTTATATGCAGTTTTCTACCCTGAGAAACCAATCTATGCTAAAGATAATATTTGTGCTTTTCAATGAGGCTGGTAAAATATTTGCACTTTGAAGCTCAGAGCGATAACATTTATTCATTCGGGTGAAACTTATCAGGATTAGGTAAATATAATCGAAGCAAAACAAAAATGATTTGGGAAACTTTGTGACCAAAACCAACAGGCGTATTCAGTACTCCTTTGAAGGTCACCTAATTCTAATAACATTTATATTTATAAATGTCCTCTAAGTCTTTTATCTTCTGCAAATAAATTATTTCTCACAATTACAGGTTAGTCCAATACATCAGCCTATTTTCAGAGTCCAGAGTTCTAACCATTACACGATGGAACCAGCCTATTTTCAAGCACATACTCAGTGTCTCCAGGATGAGGACACATTGTGGGGCTTTTCACAACTTCTCTCTCCCATCACCTGCCCCTCTCCTTCCATATTTAATATATTGTTGCATTTCTGTCAAATTAGCTGGAAGAGTAGTGTTTAATCAGGTGTACACACTGCCACAGTAACCTGGAAACTTCAAATTCTACCCCTAATCACTAATGTTGAAGACTTGCTAAAACAGGTTTTTTTGTTTGTTTGTTTTGCTTTTTGAGACGGAGTCTAGCTCTGTTGCCCAGGCTGGAGTGCTGTGGTGCAATTATCAGCTCACTGCAACCTCTGCCTCCTGGGTTCAAACAATTCTCCTGCCTCAGCCTCCCGAGTAGTTGGGATTACAGACATGTGCCACGATGCCCAGCTAATTGCTTGTATTTTTAGTAGAGATGGGGTTTCATCATGTTGGCCAGGCTGGTCTCAAACTCCTGACCTCAAGTGATCCTCCTGCCTCGGCCTCCCAAAGCGCTGGGATTACAGGCATGAGCCACCGCGCCCACCTAAAGTTTTAAAAATTGTGTAAATAACACCTACCATAAAATTTACCATCTGAACCACCTTTGAGTGTGCAATATAGTGTTAACTATATTGCATATTGTTGTATGACAGATGTCTAGAACTTTCTCACCTTTGCAAAGTTGAAACTTCATACCCATCAAAGAACAACTCTCCATTTCCTCTCCCCCCAACTCCTGGCAACCACATTCTGCTTTTTGTTTTCATGAGTTTGATTACTTTAAATACCCCATGTTCGTGAAATCATGCAATATTTTTCTTTTTGTGACTGGCTAATTTCACTTAGCATAATGTTTGCTAATCATCTTTGACATGCACTGGTCTACCCAACAAACATGAGCTGAGGGCCTAGTGCTGGCTAACATTGCCAGGAATAGCTGTCATACTAGAAAAATCTACTTGTAAAATGGTAAAAATAGCAGTATGGATTTGTAGAGGGTTTTCACACATACTATGTCATCATCATTTAAAGCAGGGTTGCTCACCCTTGGCACTATCAATATTTTAGACCAGATAATTGTCTGTGGTGGGGCCTGTCCTGTTCATTGTTGCACGTTTAGCAGCATACGTGGCGTCTACCCACTAGATGCTAGTAGCATCCTCCCCCTCCCACTGTGACAACCAAAAACGTCTCCACGCACTGCTAAATGTCCCCTGTGGGGCAACCTTGGACGAATAAGCTACCTTCCAAAAGAAGTAAAATGCAGCTAACAAAACTTTATGAGGTTTGTATAATGACTTGTAATAGCAGGGCATGATGACATGCACCTGTAGTACCAGCTACTGGGGAGGCTGAGGCGGGAGAATTACTGGAGCCCAGGAGTTCAAGGCTGCAGTGCATTGTGATCCAGCCTGTGAATAGCCACTGTACTCCAGCCTGGGCAACATAGCAAGATCTGCTCTCTAAAGAGCAAAACAAACAAAAACAGTGTATGATGCTACCTGGCACATAACAGGCACTTAATAATAAGAGCTGTTATTATTTAATAACATCATATAAAATATATGAAATTGAGTAGCTGGATATTGAGTATAACCCATTAATGGGACGTTGAACAATAGAGGTTCACTGGATAGGAACTGGAATATTTTTATTCGAAATCTGGCTCTACCTCTAAGTAGATGTGTGATGTTGGCAAAATCACTGAGTCTCTTTGGGTCTCAGCTCTACCAACTATTAAGGGAGATTACATAAACTTGCCCTGTGTATTTTATAAGGTTATAATGATATTAAAAGTTATATAATAAAAGGAAGGTACTCTGAAAGTAGGAACTTGTTACACACGCAAGCCACTGTTATGATGCAAATTTTCTGTAACGACTTTATTGAAACTTAATTCATACACCATACAATTCTCCCTTTTGAAATGTACAGTTCAGTGGTTTTCAGTATATTCACACAAGGTTGTGCAACCATCATCTCTATCTAATTCCACAATATTTGTATTATCCCAAAAGAAACCATCCAACCATTACATCCCTGCCCCAACTCCCTGGGTCCCTGAGAGCTGCTAATCTACCTTCTGATTCTAAAGTCTTTCCTATTCTGAACATTTGACAACTAGAATATGGTATAAATTTTAATAGTTCCCTTCACAGTACTGTAACAGTCTAAGCTGTCTCACATTCTTTTTGGAAGAGAAGAGGTGTGTTTGTTTTATTAGAATAAACAATAGTGTTCTTTTTGTCAAGAATATTATATATGCATATAGTTAAAATTACATATATAGTTTATATATATATATATATATATATATTTTTTTTTTTTTTTTTTTTTTTGAGACAGAGTCTCGCTCTGTCACCCAGGCTGGAGTGCGATGGCACGACCTCAGCCCACTGCAACCTCCACCTCCAGGGTTCAAGTGATTCTCCTGCCTTAGCCTCCCAAGTAGCTGGGATTATAGACACACACCACCACACCTGGCTAACTTTTGTATTTTTAGTAGAGATGGGGTTTCACCATGTTGGCCAGGCTGGTCTCAAGCTCCTGACCTCAGGTGATCTGCCTGCCTCAGCCTCTCAAAGTGCTGGGATTACAGGCATGAGCCACGGTGCCCAGCCGTATTTTAACAATATTTTTATCCCAGAAATAGCTCAGGGATAGAATAAGTGTTCTAGAATTGTTCCCATGCTGCTCAGTGAATGTCAAACCACCTTTGTGACTGAAGCCCATGTAGAAAAGACTTGTGAAATAGTATTGTGGAAGCACTCTCATATTCCTGCCACCAGTAATGATTTTCCTTTGTTCTTTGAGGTTCATATTTGCTTTAGTTCTAAGACCCACAGGGGGCCTGTTTATTCCCAGCTAGTTTGCGTAAGAAAGGACGGTTTGTGAAATGCTTTATGAACAGGTCTGGCCGGCCAATCAAACACTCAGCATGGCGTTGTCAGGAAGCTTGCCTCTCACCAGAAGGGGCACATCTGGGAGTTCTCACTGTACTAGACCATCGCTAGGTGGAGATCAGGCAGCTCCAATGGAATACTTGAAAGTGGTTAAGAACGGACCCATTGTGATCCTTTTTTTCGGGGGGGAGAGTCTCACCATCTTTTTCAGGCTGGTTTTGAACACCTGGGCTCAAGCAATCCTTTCACTTTGGCCTCCCAAAGTGCGGGGATTACAGGTGTGGGCCACCATGCCTGGCCCCTAATATTTATTCATGTTCTACTTAAGAAATGCCTTTCCTATACCAAGGACTGAGGTAGATAGGTGCTGAGTATTTGGAATACAGGGGTGAGAAACAGATACTTTTTTTTTTTTTTTGAAACAGGGTCTCACTCTGTCGCTAAGGCTGGAGTGCAGTGGCATGATCTCAGCTCACTGCAATCTCTGCCTCCCGGGTTCAAGCCATTCTCCTGCCTCAGCCTCCCTAGTAGCTGGGACTACAGGTGCCTGCCACTGCGCCCAGCTAACTTTTGTATTTTTAGTAGAGATGGGGTTTCACCATGTTGGCCAGGGTGGTCTTGAACTCCTGACCTCAGGTGATCTGACCACCTAGGCCTCCCAACGTGTTGGGATTACAGGTGTGAGCCACCACGCCCAGCCCAGACACATTTCTTCCTACACAGATGCACACACATACATTCACATATACACAGAATAAAAAGACTGGGATATATACACAAGAATGTTAACAGTGGTTCTCACTGAGTTGTAGCATTATGGATTATTTTTATTACTTTTACTCTATTCCAGAGCTTGCACTGCTTTTATAAGCAGGGAAAAGATTTTGTTCAGTCTCAATGTGTGGAGCTAATTTCTGAAATCCAGAAATGTCAAAGCGGAAACTGCATCTGCTCTAGGAGTATCACAGTGGACCAAATACCACATCCTGAGACAGTACCATGTTTCAAACTATGGCAGGAGATCTGAAATTCCTGAAAGAAATACCCAGAGACTTCTGGGCAGTTTATGTTCATGAAAAGAAAAAAATATATCTGGTATTTTTATGAAGTTCTTTTCTGTGTTCTGAAAAACTTAATTCACTTTAATGAAATTAAGAGATTAATCAAGAATAAATTAAAACACTATCCTTTTTTCTACATATTCTTTCCAGATCCAGGAGAGGGTTCGGTGGGGGGAAGCAGTCATTTCTGGCCTTCCCTTGCCTTCTGACCTCCTGGCCACTGAAGTGCACAGGCCAACGCCAAATTTAATAACCTTCAGAGACAGATGTTTGTAAAGTGGAGCCCGGGCTTGATTAATTCAAACAGTGTCTAAAATCAGTGTTTGTTTTATTCCCTTATATTTGAAGTTTAAATGTCTACTGGTTATTGATCAACTTTTATTATGGATTTACTCATACAAAAAGGCTATTTGAAAAGGGCTAATCCCTCCCCCACCTTGAAAGTTGACAATTTAAACTAGCTCAGAAGAAGATCTGCGAAGCGGTAAAGAAACTTGCTTGGCTTTATTTCTTCCAGTGTTGCCCAAACTCATTTTTTTAGCTAAGTTTCTTTTTTATTTTGAGACGGGGTCTTGCTTTGTCAGCCAAGCTGGAGTGCAGTGGCATGAATATGGCTCAGTGAAGCCTCAACCTTCCGGGCTCAAGCAATCCTCCTGCCTCAGCCTCCCAAAGTTGAAGTGCTGGGATGACAGGTGTGAGCCACCACGAGTGGCCCTATGTGAGCTTGTTTGACAATACAGTCCTCTTTGGTAGGGTAATGTCTAATTGAATTATATAATGTCTGAAAATATATGTATATCTTTTTTTTTTCTTTTCAGACAGGGTCTTGCTTTGCTACCCAGGCTGGAATACAGTCGTGTGAACACAGCTCACTGCAGCCTTGACCTCCTGGGCTCAAGAGATACTCCTGCTTCAGCTCCTTAAGTAGCTGGGACTACAGGCACGTACCACCATGCCTGGCTAATTTTTTGTATTTTTTGTAGAGATGGGGTTTTGCCATGTTGTCCAGGCTAGTCTTGAACTCCTGAGCCCAAGTGATCCACCTGCTTTGGCCTCCCAAAGTGCTGGGATTTACAGGCGTGAGCCACCGTGTCTGGCCTTGCATATTATTTATAATGAGGAAGCTAACTTGATAATTGAGTTAATAGAATGAAGGCATGTTTAAAAAAATCAGGTGTTCTGACCAGACCCAGAGTTCCCACTTTGACTTGGAGAAAAGTTTAATTTGTAAATTTATACATTCCTATAGCATTTGAATTTGTCATAATAAGCAAATGCCTTTGAAATATTGAGGTTTTAAAAAGAGATTAAAATGCCATTAAAAGACACATATGCCAAAAGAAATGCAAAGAAGTGGATGAGGTTCAGGCCAGGGAGAAAAACAAACAAACCTGGGAACAATAAGTTGCACCAAATTGGGGTTCAGGGACAAATTTTTATAACAATTAGAAAATAAAGATACAATAACAGCAACAAGAAGAATCCAATAATGGTGAATGTGAACCTCAGAAGAGAGCACGGTAGGAGAGCCTGACACAGGAGTGAAAAAGCCGAAGGAAGCTCAGCTCTGCAGGATACTGAATCAGCAAGAGCAGGGCCAAGGATGAAGGTTTACAATTCTCAGTAGCCTTCTTCTTTCATGCCACTGGTGTTTAAGTTCAGAATCAAGGAACATTCTAGCGTATACATTATCGGGAATAAGTCAAGTAAGTTGTTAAACCAAAATGAAAGCTTAATTAGATAGCAATTCAGTAATCAGGACGCATATTTCATCGTTACTATAGCCAACAGTTTGCAAACATAGGACATCACACAGCACGGGACAGTGAACTCCGAAAGAGGGGAAACTAATGATATGAGCCCCGCGATTGCCCCAGCTTACTGAGTACAGAGTTATTCTGCCACAGGGCAGGCAGAGGAGTCCAGGGGGAGCCTGGCCATCTCCTTGAATGGAGCAGACAGATTTGAGAGTTTGAGGAGGTCAAGACTGCTGAGGTTCCTAGGGTGGAGTTACTGTGAAGGAGATAGTCCAGAGAGAGAACTCCAGACACATGCAAGAGGGTCTCCCTCAAGTCTTTAGCTAACGACCGATCAGGAAATATGCAAAGAAATGACCCAATGCCAAGGAAAGAATGACCCGAGGATTAGAGAAAAGAAACAGCAAAGCTTACACGGGGCTAACAATTGTTTGTGTTCCTTCCAGCTGGAGTAGAAAAACCTTGTAATTCTAAGTCATTAGGTAGTATACTTAGAAGGGGATTGCCTCAGCACAGTCAAACTAGATGAACAGCTGCCACAAAACCACGAAGGATATAGAAGGTCGACCTATTTGACATAGAAAGAGCCCTTCACCCAACAATATGAGAATATACATTCTTGGCCGGGCGTGGTGGCTCGTGCCTGTAATCCCAGCACTTTGGGAGGCCGAGGCGGGTGGATCACTTGAGGTCAGGAGTTCAAGACCAGCCTGGCCAACAAGGTGAAGCCCTGTTTCTACTAAAAATACAAAAATAGCCAGGCGTGGTGGCTCATGCCTGTAGTCCCAGCTACTTGGGAGGCCGAGGCAGAAGAATTGCTGGAACCCAGGAGGCAGAGGTTGCAGTGAGCTGCGATCACACCACTGTACTCCAGCCTGGGTGACAGAACAAGAGTCCGTCTCAAAACAACAACAACAACAAAGAATACACATTATTTTCATGTACACATTTACCAAATAGATCATCTTCTGGGCCATAAAGCAAGTCTTGATAAATACACCAGGGTTCAGGTCCTATAAGGAACGTTGCTTCTCATGTGCCCACTTCCCCTTTGACCTTCTCTGCCATGTTTTGACGTAGCACAAGAGCCCTTACCAGCAGCCAAGCAGAAGCCAGTGCCATGCTTCTTGTACAGCCTGCAGAACCATGAGCCAAAAAAGTACCTTTTCTTTTTTTTTTTTAAAGGATGTTCTCTGATCACGTGGAATTAAGTTGGAAATCGGTAACAGGAAGATATCTGGAAAATGCCCAAATATTTGGAATTTCAGACCATACTTCTAAATAATTCGTAGTCCAAAAGAGACACTAAAAGGGAAATTAGAAAGGACTTTGTGCTTAATGAAAATGAAAACATGATGTATCAAAATTTGTGGGATTCAGCTAACGCAATGCAGAGAAAAATTTACAGCATGAAATACCTACATTAAAAAAGAAGAAAGTTCTCTCATCAATGACTTCAGTTTCCTCTCTAACAAAATAAAGCAAGAGGCTATATTAAACCCAAACCATGCAGAATCAAAGAAATACTAAAGATAGGAACAAAAATCAATAAACTGAAAAACAGGAAAAAAATGGGGAAAAAAAAATCAATGAAGGCAGAAGCATGTTTTTTTTTTTTAAGATTAAAATTTTTTTTCTTCAACTTTTAAGTTCTGGGGTACATGTGCAGGATGTGCAGGTTTGTTACATAGGTAAATATGTGAGAAGCATGTTCTTAAAAATAAAGACCAATAAAGTTGATTTTTTAAATAATGAGGAAAAGATTTGAACAGATTATTAAAGAAGACACACAGAAGGTAAATAAATACCTGAGAAGATATTCAAAATCATTATTCATTGCAAGCTTAGTGCTAATTAAAATCACAAGGAAATATTGTTATAATCCCACTAAAATAGCGAAAATTAAAGAGATTGGCCATACCGTGTGTTGGTGAGATGTGAATCAACTGGAAATTTCCTATCCTGCTGGAAATGTAAAATCACACAAACACTTTGGACAATAGTTCAGTAGTTTCCTAAACTCTTAAATATACCCGTCGTAAGACCTATCCATCCCCTCTAGGTACAATTGCTTCTCATTATTCGAGGTAGTTATTTCTATAAAGTTGCCACAAACTGAATTAGCTAACTCTGAAATATTGTCGCTAGAGGATATATATCTAACATGGATTATAATCTTAAATCTCCAAGACAACTCATCCTGATTGATTTTCTTTTATTTTATAAAAGAGAAAACTATGTTCCAAAGTGTTAAGAGTCTTGCCTGAGATACTCCACCAAGGGGCGTTTTCTGCTACTGATTTCCAACTTAATTCCGTGTGATCAGAGAATATTCTTTTAAAAACATCCAAGGTCCTAATGCTCCGGGATCTACAGGCGCCGGAGGTGAGATTCAGATCTGTCCAGCTGGCCCCACAGCTGCAACTTTTTGCCCTATAATGTATAATGTTCCCTCCCGTTTCTCTTTTTTTTTTTTTTTTGAGATAGAGTCTTGCTCTGTCGCCCAGGCTGGAGTGCAGTGGCATGCTCAATCTCAGCTCACTGCAACCTCCACTTTCCAGGTTCAAGCGATTCTCCTCCCTCAGCCCCCTGGGTTGCTGGGATTACAGGCGCCTCCACCACGCCTGGCTAATTTTTTGTATTTTAGTAGAGATGGGGTTTCACCATGTTGGCCAGGCTGGTCTCGAACTCCTGACCTCACGTGATCCACCTGCTTCGGCCTCCCAAAGTGCTGGGATTACAGGCATGAGCCACCATGCCTGGCCCCGTCTCTATTTTCTAGTCACCTCTGTGTATGAGCTGAAACAAGAAAGTAGAGTCATCTTGTTCAACCTTAGCTGGGAATGTGCAAGCCTGGGAACTTAGACTTTTGGCAGCTCTGCACATATGGGCAAGTGACCATGAATACTACTTGTAAGGTTAATACTTTTGGGGTTACACAAACATGTTAATGAGTAGGTGAATTTAAAACACATAACCCGCAAATAAGGATCAACTATATTTATTCCAGGGAATTCAAATCATATGTTGGTATATACTCTTGTATATAGCTGTTTATGACATCTTTATTTAAAAAAAAAAAAAAAAAAAAAGCCTGGCACAGGGGCTCATGCCGGTAATCCCAGGACTTTTTGAGGCTGGATGGGCAGATCACAAGATCAGGAGTTCGAGACCAGCCTGTCAACATGGTGAAACCTCATCTCTACTAAAAATACAAATATTAGCCATGCATGGTGGCGTGCGCCTTTAATACCAACTACTCGGAGGCAGAGGCTGTAGTGAGCTGAGATCGCGCCACTGCACTCCAGCCTGGGTGACAGAGCAACACTCCATCTCAAACAAATAAAAAAAAAGTGGAAGTAATACTAATGTCTATCAGCAGGTGAATGGATTAAAAAAAGTATGGTATAGTCATACAAGGGAATACTTCCCAGTAATAAAAGGAGTAAACTATTAATACGTGCAACAACATGGACAAACCTCAAAATATTAATGCTGAAAGAAGCCATACCAGAAAACAAAGTTCCTGCTATAAGATTTCATTAATATAGAAATCTAGAAAATGCAAACTAAAAGTGCAAACTTTCTATAGCGACAGAAAGTCAATCAGCAGTTATCTGGAAGGGAGACATCTCAAAGGGACCCGGGGAAACCTTTTGGGGCTGATGAATATGTTCTGTGTTTTACTGAAGTGATGATTTCACAGATATTTTAATAAGTTAAAACTCATCAATTGTACATGTATGTGAAGTTTATCTCAATTATATCTCAGTGTTGCTAGGTTGGGTGGAATATGGGAGAAAGAAAAAATTAAATTGGTATAGTAATCTATATCCATTAAATTCTATAGAATGGGGCTGGGTGCCGTGGCTTATGCCTGTAATCTCAGCACTTTGGGGGGTTCGAGGCAGGCGGATCACCTGAGGTCAGCAATTGGAGACCAGCCTGGCCAACATGATGAAACCCCGTCTCTACTAAAAATGCAAAAAAATTAGCTAGACATGGTGGTGCACACCTGTAAACCCAGCTACTGGGGAGGCCAAGGCAGGGGACTCGCTTGAACCCAGGAGGTGGAGGTTGCAGTGAGCCGAGATTGTGCCACTGCACTCCAGCCTGGGCAACAGAGCAAGACTATGTCTCAATAAATAAATAAAATTCTATAGAATGGTTATTACATTAGTAAATTAAAATCTAGCTGGGCGCAGTGGCTCACACCTATAATCCCAGCACTTTGGGAGGCCAAGGCAGGTGGCTCATGAGATCAGGAGATCGAGACCATCCTGGCTAACACAGTGAAACCCCATCTCTACTAAAAATACAAAAAATTAGCCGGGCATGGTGGCAGGCACCTGTAGTCCCAGCTACTTGGGAGGCTGAAGCAGGAGAATGGTGTGAACCCGGGAGGTGGAGCTTGCAGTGAGCCGAGATCAAGCCACTGCACTCCAGCCTGGGCGACAGGGTGAGACTCCGTCTCAAAAAATAAATAAAAGATGAAAAATAAATAAATAAAAATCTAATCTATTGAATAACTGAATTCTAATCTATTGAATTCAATAGAATGGTTAAATACCAAATTAATGCATATTGTACTGCCTAAGATATGAATGAATGGAATGATATGGAATATTTGCAAACACTTGTAACACACAATGTGCCATGCGCTGTTCTGTGCTCTTTACATACAATGAATCATACTCACAGCAACCCTATGAGAGGGATACTATTATTATCCTCCTTTTACCCAAGAAAAATATGAGGCACTGAGAAGTTGATTAACTCTCCCAAGGTCACACAGGCTTGAAGCCATAGAACCACGTCTCAAAAGCAGGCAGTTTGGTGCCAGAATCCATGCTGTTAGCAGCAAAGGTCCATCATGTTATTTTTTTCTTTTTTTTTTTTTTTCAAGATGTAGTTTCGCACTGTCACCCAGGCTGGAGTACAATGGTGCAATCTAGGCTTACTGCAAACTCTGCCACCGGGTTCAAATGATTCTCCTGCCTCAGCCTCCCGAGTGCTGGGATTACAGGTGCCCACCACCACGTCCAATTATTTTTGTATTTTTAGTAGAGACGAGGTTTCACCATGTTGGCCAGGCTAGTCTCGAACTCCTGACCTCGTGATCTGCCCGTCTCGGCCTCCCAGAGTGCTGGGATCACAGCCGTGAACCACTGTGCCCGGCCTGGGTCCATCATTTTCTTCTTGAAGGAAGACAACTAACATTTATTGAGCAGCTACTACATATCAAACACTATGTTTAGTCCTTCCGCATTCACTGTCCAACTTAATTCTCACAATTACTCAAGAGGAAGCTATTATTATCCCAAGTTTTTAGATGAAAAAGCTTAAATCCAAACCAGGTCCCACTGTGATTTTATGCATGAGCTGTATTTAAACTTTATTACATCGGCCTTGCCCTCCACGTCTTTTCCACTGGTCTATTTCCTGTTCACCTCTACGTCCTACATCCACAGTGCCCAGGACAAAATTTAACTGCTAAGTTAGCTATGAAAGGATGGACACATTCTCCCTCACAATACAATGAAATGGCAAATTATAAACAGGGGAGGATGGAGCCAGGTGATCCCCAGTTCTCAAAAAACAATCTAACACTTTTCCCCCAGGTGGTAGAGTTTAATCCCCCCACCCCTGAGGGTACACTGATTTCATAACTCACATCCAAAGAATGGGGTATGGAAAGAGAAAAGGGGTCACTTTACTGTGGAGAAGCCTGGAAAACATTATCTTGACCGAGGGATCAAAGATAACCCCTCAGCGACATCCTGTGTCTACTGTACCCCCGATTTGGCATGATGAGAAGGGCGTTTTACAACTCTGTGGTATTCTTTCCCCCCAGAACTCACAACTGCAGTCTAAGCATGAGAAAAATGCATCGAACAAACCCAAATTGAGGACCATTTGAAAAAATACCTGGCTAGTATTCCTCCAAACTGTCAAGGTCACGAAAAACAAGGTAAGACAGAAACTGTCATAGAGCAGAAAAGACTAAGGAGGTACAACAACCAAACACAACGTGTAATATGGGCTGGATCCTGGAACAAAAAGCAACCTGAATGGAAAAACTAGTGAAATCAGAATAAAGTCTGGGGTTGAGTTAGTATAATGCATCAGTGCTAATTTCTTAGTTTTGACAAATGTACCACAAATGTAATATGAGTTGATAATATTAGCAGCAACTAAAATTGGACAATGGGTATATAGGGATTCGGTACTACCTTTGCAAATTTCTTGTACATTTAAAAAAATTCCAAAATAAATTTTTTTTAAAAAAACCTAATCAGCAGCCCTTACTCAGGCAAAAGCAGAGCGTGGTCCGTTTTTGCTTAGGAAGAGATATTTAGGGGCGTGGTGGGCACAGCCTGCCTTTCAGACCACCCTTGTATCGCTATGGAGCCTGTGGCCCTGCAGCCAGGTCTCCAGCACAAGCCCTGAGTCCACAGAGCACCAGCTGGGTTATGTTTAATACTTTGTTAGAGGAGCTTAAGCATTAACCTCCCTCCAAGTAGAAAATTGACCTTACACAGAAAATAAGGGTCAATGTTCCTTAATTGTGGCATCTCTTCATAATCTGATTCAATAACACTCCAGAAAAATTTGGGATACAGGGCCAAAAGTCTGCTAATTGGGCTGCCCCACTGGTGAGAAGAGCAGAGTCCTGGTTCCTGAGTGTTAACTGTATGAACTTCAGCAAGATTCTGAACTCAGAGGAGCTGAGGTGATAGCTAGATGGATGAATGGATGAATTGACAGACGGACACAACTTAAAGAGTTTTCTCTCAGCAAACTCCTTCCTTAGCCAGGCATTAGTGGTGCAATCTCAGAATTTTCCAGAATACTACACCTTTCCCGTAAAATCCTACCAGCCTCACATTATAACTTCACAGAGCTTTTATTTTGCTTTTTAAAAATTTGTTTGGTTTTGTTTCACAAACAACATTACTGTATGGTAATGAATACTAATAGTTAGTTGCCCCTCAGAGAACAGTAGACAGACTTTCCCGATCCAAATAAGAGCAATTTTGGGGCTGGGTGCAGTGGCTCACCCTGTAATCCCAGCACTTGGGAAGGCCAAGGTGGGCAGATCACTTGAGATCAGGAGTTCGAGAGCAGCCTGGCCAACATGGTGAAACCTCGTCTCAACTAAAAATACAAAAATTAGCCAGGCATGGTGGCAGGCACCTGTAATCCCAGCTATTTGGGAGGCTGAGGCACGAGAATTGGTTGAACCTGGGAGGCGGAGGTTGCAGTGAGCCGAAATCACACCACTGCACTCCAGCCTGGGTGACAAGAGCGAGACTCTGTCTCAAAAAAAAAAAAAAAAAAAAGGGTGAATTTGGCCAGTGTAGGGTCATGAGGGCTGTGTGCTTGGGGGCAGGTTATGGACCAACTGCTGTGTAAGCCTGTTGCATTTACAAAGTAGGCAATAAATCATACAGTTTAAAAAAATCACTTGAGAGAATGCACTAGAGCAGATCATACTTATACACATGCACGCACGCATGCACACGCATGCACACACACACATGCACGCACATATTCCAGAGAGTAACATGAAGTTTTCAGAATCTAAGGATTCCAGGTGTTTCCTGCTTTCACCGCCAGGGAAGCAGAAATGACCGCTGTTAAACAGACATCCCCTGCAAGAAGTCCTCAGCGCTAGTTCGACGCATTTGGTACACAGCAGAGAGAGACCATGAGCCCTGGGTGCTATCACAGAACTATAGCCGTGCATGGCTTTTGCAAAGGCGATTCCAAAACAACCGAGAAAACGGTAGAAGCAAGGCTGTACCAGGCTTTCTGCTGCCGACCACACACTTTCAAAAATCAATGACTGCTGCTGTTAACAGGCACTTATTAAGGGTGGCCCGGACCTTAATGATCACTAAGATCCTCCCAGGAAGAGCGACTATCACTTGAGTAACTACTGAACTTCATCCAAATAAATTTCCCATCCCACTACTAATGTTTTCATGCAAAGAACCAAAGACTTTATATCTTTTTAAAAGTAAAAAAACAAAACCAAACCAAAATCCGACATTGGCGATGCACACACAGGTCTGAGCAGGTTTCCCTTGTTACCCACTGTGGTTCGGAGCCGCAGTACCTTTGTCGCCTTCCTGCCCAGTTACTTTACTGCAAGGGGGACCGTAATCCTTGACGCCACCTTTTTGCGTTCCTTGTGGAAACAGGCGCTGCCCCGACTACATGCTTTTTCCACGTCGGAGTCGGCGCAGCAGCTCCAAAGCCTTCCAGTCCTCACAGACTCAGCAGAGCTGGCAGGGCCAGCGGGCACCACTGAGTCCCGCGGAGCCAGGCCCAGTCTCTTTGCTTTACTGACGCAAATGTCTGCGGAACTTTTTTTTGACTTGACGTCTATGGTAAGATAAATGCTACCACCACTAAAGGTAGCAAAGAAATGGCCTGGTGACCTTTCAAAAACCTTTTGCCAGACTTTTTCAAATCTCTGATTTCGATTCGGGCAGAGAGGGAGAGCCAAGATTCTGGGGTAGGCTGCCCAGACCTAAGAGGTAGGAGACGGTCTCTTAATGTTTAAGAGGGGGACGTGGAAATGACATTTTTCTCAAGGCAAGTTTGCACTTGGGGCACGATCAAACTTGTGCATGCACTTCACTCAACAATGCTTTTTGCACTATAAGGCGACAGTGGTTGATGTTTTGAGAAGGTGAGGCCCTGGGAGTTGGGTGCAGGTATATCTGGTTTTGATTCTTTCCCCTCCCCAGGGTTCTCAGATGCCAGCTGAGGTCTCATCCATCCACACAGCAGTAGGAAACCAAGGTCCTAATGCTCCGGGATCAATGTGAACTTGTGTGTGTGTGAGAGAGAGAGACGGAGTCTCGCTCTGTCTCCCAGGCTGGAGTGCAATGGCATGATCTCAGCTGACTGCAACCTCCGCCTCCCCCCTCCTGGGTTCAAGCAATTCTCCTGCCTCAGCCACCCAAGTAGCTTGGATTATAGGTGTGCATCACCATGCCTGGCTAACTTCTGTATTTTTAGTACAGTTTCACCATGTTGCCCAGGCTGGTCTTGAATTCTTGACCTCAGATTATCTGCCTGCCTCAGTCTCCCAAAGCGCTGGGATTACACGCTTCAGCCACGGCGCCCCGCCGTGAACATTTTAGTAATCCATTGCAGAGTTCCATGAAATCCGTTTAACTGGCTCATTGGAATTGATAAGGATTATCTATTGCATTCAAGACTAAGACTGAACTCACGGTGGCCACTCAGAGCTACCAAAGACCACCCTGGTGCGATGAATCATGTTTTTGACCCCCGTAACCAGTTCGTTTCAAGCACCACTAGAGAAAACGGGTCCATTTAAACTTCAGGACTTTTTTTCCGCCGTTCCTCATTTTTAGTCGTCATCCACAGATTTTCATTCTTTCCAAAAGCATGTAAACATATTTATATGGAGGTGAAGACACCAGCTCACATGACATGGATGCAGCACTGGTACATAAACTTATTTACCAGGCACAATGGCTCATACCTGTAACCCCAGCACTTTCGGAGGCCAAGGCAGGCAGATCACCTGAGGTCAGATCGAGACCAGCCTGGCCAACGTGGTGAAAATCTTTATTAAAAATAGAAAAATAGGCCAGGCAGAGTGTGTCACTCCTGTAATCCCAGCACTCTGGGAGACTGAGGTGGGCAGATCACAAGGTCAGGAGATCAACAACATCCTGGCCAATGTTGAGAAATCTCATCTCTACTAAAAATACAAAAAAATTAGCCAAGTGTGGTAGTGGGTGCCTACAGTCCCAGCTACTCAGGAGGCCGAGAGAGGCAAGCCACTTGACCCCGGGAGGCAAAGATTGCAGTACACAGAGGACACCACTGCACTCCAGCCTGGGCAACAAAACCAAAAATGATCAGTAAATAATTTGGCTGGGCCTAGTAGCACATACCTGTAATCCATACTTGGGAGGCTGAGACAGCAGAATCGCTTGAACCCGTGACATAAGCCACAGTGTGCCAAGATAGTGCCACTGCACTCCAGCCTGGGCAGCACAAGTGAAACTGTCAAAAGAAAAAAAAAATCCTCTATAGTTTTCACAACTGCGTGTGGAATTAGTGGGTTCTCAGTCTGACTTCAAGCATGAAGCTGTGGACCCTCACAGAATTACAATTGTTAAACATGTGACCCCAGTTTATTTCTTCTGTTCAGATGTGCTCAAAGTTTCTTCTCTCTGGTGGGTTTGCCTCTTTTGTTTCTTCTCTATAGTGGGTTCGTGCTCTTACTGACTTCAGGAATGACATTACAGATCTTCACATTGAGTGGACTGGGAGCATTACACACCTTCCTAATCTCACTAACTTAAAAACTGAAGCTACCTACTTTCCCACTGAGTGCTACAGCTTTTTTTCAGAATCCCGCTGCTTTAACGACCAAAGCTACAGACAGAGATGGTAAACCTCCCAGCTCTTAAGCATAGAACACCTACCGTGATTCATCCCACCCAGTTGATTCTTTATTCACTACTTCTGGCAGAGTAGTAATCTTAGTCTATAACTGAAGCTACAGACTTTTACTATTAGTCCTGCAGATCAAAAAGATAACACAAACCCAAACAACAAGTCTATAGCAACACAAAGAACAGACGTAAACCAGTTATCCTTATTGATTCAGGCAGCCTGCTTTTATTCCCTTATCTGACCCCACCCACATCCTGCTGATTGGTCCATTTTACAGAGAACTGATTGGTCCATTTTACAGAGTGCTGATTGGTCCATTTTACAGAATGCTGATTGGTCCATTTTTGACAGGGTGCTGATTGGTGTGTTTACAAACCTTTAGCTAGACACAGAGTGCTCACTGGTGCGTTTACAATCCTTTAGCTAGACACAAAAGTTCTCCAAGTCCCCACAAGATTAGCGAGACACAGAGTGTTGATTGGTACTTTTACAAACCTTTAGCTAGACACAGAGAATGCTGATTGGTGAGTTTACAATCCTTTAGCTAGACACAAAAGTTCTCCAAGTTCGCACCCCTCCCAGAAACCCAGCCGGTTTCACCTCTTACCGGCAGGCGCTGGGGCACTTTGCAGCACCCAATTCGGGCACTCTGGCAGCCCAGAGGGAGCTTTTTCCCTAGTCAAGCCCAGCAGACGTCAGTTGACAGTGAAGTTCGGCGACTGCCGAGACCGCGCGCCGGCCACGAGCGCCGCGCGCAGCCCCGGCTCCCGCCCGCGGCTCTCCCTCCACACTCCCTGCGAGCAAAGGAGCTGGCTTCAGCCTGGGCCAACCCCAGAGAGCGGTTCCCACAGCGCAGCGGTAGGCTGAAGGGCTCCTCAAGCACGGCCAGAGTAGGCGCCGATAGCGAGGGAGGGCTGCTGGCACATTGTCATTTCTCGGTTCCACGTTACAATTGAGAAAATGGAGGCAGGTGAAGTCAAGTAACTTGCCCTAAATCAGAAAGTGAGAGATCTGTTTTGAATCTAAGTATCCTAATTTCAATGCCCATGCGCTGTTGATTGACCACACTGCCAAGTTCCACCCAGCCACCTTGACCTTCCACAAGAACCTCAGCCCAGGGATGACAGGGCCTGCAAGAAATCCCACCACTAGAGGCTCTGAATTCCATGTTGGCATGGGAGTTACCAGTTACACTAGAGTCAGACTTGTTGAGTTTGTGCCCAACAATAAAGTGTCCGCAAACCTCACTTAACTTCTGGAAGCTCTGATTTCCTTATCCATTGAAGGGAGATGCTGGCTGGGTGCGGTGGCTCACGCCTGTAATCCCAACACTTTGAGAGGCTGAGGCGGGTGGTTCACCTGAGGTCAGGAGTTTGAAACTAGCGTGGCCAACATGGTGAAACCCCGTCTCTACTAAAAATACAAAAATTGGCCGGGTGTGGTGGCACGTGCCTCTGGTCCCAGCTACTCGGGAGGCTGAGGCAGGAGAATCTCTTGAACCCAGGAGGCAGAGGTTTCAGTGAGCCGAGATTGCGCCACTGCACTCCAGCCTAGGTAACAGAGCTACACTCTGTCTCCAAAAAAAAAAAAAAAAGGGTTGGGGGGTGGCGAGATGTTACTAGTATTCCACTTGTAAGATAGTTTTGAATATCAGGTAAGATAAAGCATAGTAAATCCAGGTCTGTCTATTCTATACCGCTCAGCTCTGAGCAACCCCTGCCAGTAGGTAATGAGAAACCAAGGCAATTTTCCCTGGTTTTGTGCTTCCAAATAGTCTTTTTATTTTATGGAATCTTTCAAAAACTTTAGGGAAATATAATTGTCTGATTTCTAAAGCCATTTGTTCATTCATTCATTCATTTCACAAGAACACATTGCAAGCCCAGAGCCCCTCGTTTAAAAAAAAAAAAAGCCTTCAATTTAACACAGATGAACAAATGAAGTCTAAGGCACTGGGTGGTCAGCATCTGAAGGTGGGGCCTGGACAGAGGGTCTTAAAAGTAGTGGTCCTCAGCCTTTTTGGCACCAGGGACTGGTTTTCGTGGAAGACATTCCATGGATGAGTTACTGGGAGTTGGGACTTCCACAGATGAGGATGGATGAGGGCAGGGATGGTTTTGGGATAAAACTGTTCCACCGCAGATGATCAGGCATTATGTTTTCATAAGGCATGTGCAACCTAGACCCCTTGCATGTGCAGTTCAAAATAGGGTTAATGCTCCTGTGAGAATCTAATACCACCACTGATCTGACAGGCGGTGGAGCTTAGGTGGTAATGCTCGCAAACCTGCCACTCACCTCCCGCTGTGTACCTGGTTCCTAACAAGCCACAGACTGGTACCTGCCTGTGGCCCAGGGATTGGGGACCCCTCCTTTAAAAGAACTCAAGAGCAGTTGAGAACCCCAGAGATTGGGGAAGTCTCCACAAAAAAAAAATGTTGAGCCTTTGGGCCTGGAAAGATTTGGATAGAAACACCAACACAAATGTTCCACTCTCCAGATAAACTAAAGTTGACAAACACCTGGGGCATCAGATTAATACTGGGAATCTTGGGCTCATTTCCACCTTGGACAGGCTTCCCCCACAAGAGTTTTAATGCCTTTTCTTCCTGACACATGTCCGCACGTAAACAGTAATCAATGCTTAGGTTGTGTTTCATTAAGACATCAGCAAACAGCATCTTTCCTGCACTAGCAAAGCATGGGTTTGCAAGGACTATTTCAAAAGCTCAGAGCTCCTATCTCAAGAGCGTAAGGCTGGACTGTGAGAGCTCAGGTCCAGAGAAGCCAGGAAGCACTCCTTCTTCCCCAGTCAGAATGGCAGTGGCAGGTAGCGTGTGCTATTCCTGCCCACTTTGTGGAGCTGCTCTGTTCTGATGCCTGTGGCAGGGTGGTCTGGTGGCTAAGAGGCCATGAGAGCAAATTTGGCTTCAAATTCCTGTTCTTTGGTCTTTACTATCATCTTAGGCAAGGTGTATATCTCATCTCAGTCTAGTTTCATCATTCCTAAGAGATGGACTGTTACGGACTGAACTGTGTCCTCCCAAATTTCATCTGTTGAAGTCCCAACTCCCAGTAACTCAGACTGTTACTGTACTTGGAGATAGGGTCTGTAAAGAGGTAATTAAGGTAAAATGAGGTTATAAGGGCATGGCCCTAATCCAATAGGACTGGTGTTTTTCTAAGAAGAGGAAGAGACACCAGGAGCATGTCACAGAGGAAAGGTCATGTGGGGACACAGGGAGAAGATGGCCGTCTGCAGGCTAGGAAGAGAGCCTTCACCAGGAACTAACCCTGCTGGTAACTTGATCTTGGACTTCCAGCTCCAGACTATGAGAAAATAAATTTCTGTTGTTTAAGCCATGCAGTCTGTGGTATTTTGTTATGGCAGCCCAAGCTAGCTAATACAGGGACCAAAACAGTGCCTAGTTTCCTGGATTAACGTGAGAGCAAATGAGACTATGTACCTAGCACATAAAAAGCAATGGAGATGCTTATCTTCCTCTTCTCCATCATCATCATCATCAGCAGCAGCATCAAAATGTGCTACCTCCCAGGAGACATTCAGTGCTGATTTCTCCCAGGGAAGGGATGCTCCTTACAAGTCATCTTACATAACTTCCACCATTTTCATCAATAGATAGTTGTTACTCATTAAACATATATATACAGATTATTTATGGATCATATGTATATATACATGGATTATATATATGTGTATTTCATATATATATGTGTATAATCCTCTTTACAAATTCTCTAATACATAATTCTCTTTACAAATTCATTTGGCTGAGCAAAGAATAAAACTCACAACCTCATTAACACATCAAATACAAAAAGCTTCACACATTGGCAGTCCTTTAAAGCACGGTAGAAGCAACATGAGACCACAGACTGGAAGTAGGATTCAGGAAACAGTCACACAGCTGGCACTGAGGGGTCAGGTACCTAAGCCTGGGATGAGTAGAGTGAATGGAGATCTTGGGGGTTTCCTGAGATCAAGGACTTGGATTAACAAAGAGGTCACCAAGTCTGAAGTCAGGTAGAAGAAAAATCCCGCATCTTAAAAGGCACGCGAAACGGGTGAGAAGGGAAAAAGCCTGGAGATAAGGGGGCTGTACCAGTGAGAGGTGACAGCGTGCTGACAGCCCTCAGCCCTGGCTCGCTCTGAGCGCCTCCTGGGCCTGGGCGCCCACTCTGGCAGCGCTTGAGAAGCACTTCAGCCCACCACTGCACCGTGGGAGCCCCTTACTGGGCTAGCCAAGGCCGGAGCCGGCTCCCTCAACTTGCGGGGAGGTGTGGAGAGACAAGCCGGGCGGGAACCGGGGCTGCGTGCAGCGCTTGCGGGCCAGCGCGAGTTCCGGGCGGGTTGTGGGCTCAGCGGGCTCCGCACTCGGAGCGGCCGCCGGCTCGCAAGTCCGGGGCAGTGAGGGGCTTAGCACCTAGACCAGGAGCTGCTGTGCTCGTATTTCTCGCCGGGCCTTAGCTGCCTCCCCGCGGGGCAGGGCTCCGGACTTGCAGCCCGCCGAGCCTGAGCCTCCCCAACAGCCCAAGCCTCCCCGATGAGCACCACTCCGTGCTCCAGAGCGCCCAGATCCCATACGACTGCCCAAGGGCTGAGGAGTGCAGAAGTGCAGGCGCACAGCGCGGGACCAGCAGGCAGCTCCGCTTGCGGCCCTAGTGCAGGATCCACTGGGTGAAGCCAGCTTGGGTCCTGAGTCTGGTGTGGGACTATGGAGTACCTTTATGTCTAGCTAAGGGATTGTAAATACACCAATCAGCACTGTCTCTAGCTCAAGGTTTGTAAACACACCAATCAGCACCCTGTGTCTAGCTCAGGGTTTGTGAATGCACCAATCGGCACTCTGTATCTAGTTAATCTGTTGGGGACTTGGAGAATCTTTATGTCTAGCTAAGGGATTGTGAATACACCAATCGGCACTCTGTGACTAGCTCACGATTTGTAAATACATCAGTCAACACTCTGTATCTAGGTAATCTAGCGGGGACATGGAGAATTTTTGTGTCTAGCTCAGGGATTGTAAACGCACCAATCAGCACCCTGTCAAAACAGACCAATCAGCTCTCTGTAAAATGGACCAATCAGCAGGATGTGAGTGGGGCCAGATGAGAGAATAAAAGCAGGCTGCCTTGAGCTTCCAGTAGTAATAAGCTGTAACCTACTTTTGCTGTGTGGAAGCTTTTTCTCCTCCTCCTCCCTCGTTTTGTTTCTGCTTGGTCTTTAGGTCTGTGCTGCTTTTGTGAATTGTAGCACTCATTATGAAGGTCTGTGGCTTCACTTCTGAAGCCAGTGAGCCCACAAATTCACTGAGACGTAACTCCAGACGTGCCAGTTTTACGAGCTATAACATTCACTGTGAAAGTTAGTAGCCTCACTTCTGAGCAAGGAAGACTACATAATCCACCAAAAGGAAAAAAACTGAACACATTGGAACATTAGAAGGAGCAAGCTCCAGACATGCCGCTTATAAGAAATTTAATACTCACTGTTAAGGGCCCATGGTTTCATTTTTGAAGTCGGTGAAACCGGGCACTGACCAATTCTGGACACACCAGCAGCCCTGGAAAAGCATAAGTTTGTGAAGACTATTTGGAAAGTCTGAGTCCCTGTCCCTGGAGTGTGTCTTTTCTGTGTGTGTGTGTGGTTGTGTTGGTTTTTTTTTTTTTTGGAGTTTTTGGTCTTGGTTCCCAAGTTGGACTGCGTATGATCTCAACTCACTGCAACCTCTGCTTGCTGGGTTCAAGTGATTCTCCTGCCTCAGCCTCTGCTAGCAGCTGGGATTACAGGTAGGAGGCACCATGCCTAACTTTTGTATTTTTAGTAGAGATAGGGTTTCACCATGTTGGTGAGGCTGGTCTCGAACTCCTGACCTCAATCCGCCTGCCTCAGCCTTCTAAAGTGCTGGGGTTACAGGCATGAGCCACCGCAGCTGGCCTACAAAAAGTTTTAAACTATCCAGGCATGGTGGCATGCCTGTGGTGCAGCTATTCAGGAGACTGAGGTGGGAGGATCACTTGATCCCAGGTGAGCTCTGATTACACCGCTGCATTCCAGTCTGGGCAACAGGGCAACTCAGACAGTTGATGTCCAAGATCAGTAGCTGGGAGGGGCAAAATTCTCTCTTAGCCTCTTTTTTACCTGTTCAGGTCTTCAGTTGATTGGATGAGATCCATCCACATTAGGAAGATAATCTGCTTTACTCAGTTTACCAATTCGAAGGTGAATCTCACCCAGAAACACCCCCACAAACACACCCAGAATAATGTTTGACCAAATATCTGGGCACTCCATGGCCCGCCGAGTCGTTGACATGTAAAATTACCCTTTACGCCCAATAAGAAAGTTAAGGTGCCAGGCACAGTGGCTCATGCCTATAATCCCAGCACTTTGGGAGGCCGAGGTGGGGGGATCATTTGAGGTCAGGAGTTCAAGACCAGTCCGGCCAACATGGTGAAACCCCATCTCTACTAAAAATACAAAAAATTAGCCAGGCGTGGTGGTGGGTGCCTGTAATCCCAGCTACTTGGGAGGCTGAGACAGGAGAATCGCTTGAACCCAGGAGGCGGAGGTTGCAGTGAGCCGAGATTGTGCCATTGCGCTCCAGCCAGGGCGACAGAGTGAGATTCCAAAAAAAAATAAAAAAGTTAGGGTCAGGAAAGCAGACGCAGATTTTTCAATCTGCCTGGAATAAAGTGCTGTGGTGTGTGTTTCTTTTTCTTTTCCTGACCTGACAGTGTTTGTGACGATGCTGCCTATAAAACAGAAGACACTTGTTCATCCAGCACAGCTGCCAGCAAGATCATCTAGATTAAAGTCACTACGCCACAGCAGGTGACGAAGATGTGTTCTCTGAAATTATAAAGTGACTCAAGCTCTGAAAATCTGTGGAAAGAAACTTAAGGACAGAAAATCCTAACAGGTCTCAACGGCATCTGTTCATTACATCTTTTCCAAAAAGAAGTCCATCCTCTCATTTTTTCTTTTTAAACAAGACTTTCATCCTAGCACAAACCTATGACCAAAACGTCATCAAAAGGAAGGAAAGGAAGAAGGTTGAGGAATGAAAAAAAAAGTCAGATGAGTGATTTTACATACACGATCTCATTCAATTTATTGCTCGCCAAGACCTATAAAAATAGATATTAACCTAGCAATTGTACTCTTAGGTATTTATCCCAGAGAAATTACAATGTACATTAACATAAAAACCCATATAAGAATGTTCATAGGAGTCTTGTTCATAATAGCCCAAAATTTGGAGACAGTCCAAATGTCCTTTAATGAATAGTTAAACTGTGTACATCCAAACTACAAACTATCACTTAGCAATCAAAAGGAACAAATTCACAATAAATGCAACAACTTGGATGAAGCTCCAAGGAAGTATGCAGAGTGGAAAAAAATCCCACACACGCCTACATGATTCTATGTATATAACATTATTGATAATACAAAGTTTTGGAAGTGAACAGATTTGTGGCTGCCAGGCATTGAGGGGGGTCATGATGAAGACAGGTAGGTGTGGCTGTAAAAGGACAACAGGAGAGGTCAGAGTTCTTTGTGGTCATGGCTGGGGAAGTAAATACACAAACCTACACATGCGATATAGTTATTTAGAACAAAATACACATGAGTAACAGTGAAACTGAATAAAATTGGTAGTTTATGTACATTTTAATATACTAGATGCAATATTGTATGATAGTTTTGCAAACTTTACTGCGGGAAGCTGGGTAAAGGGTACATGGAATCTCTCTGTAGTACTTTTTACAATTGGATCTACAGTTATCCCCAAATAAAAATTTTAATTAAAAAAATAGATAATATCGGCCGGACATAGTGGCTTATGCCTGTAACCCAATGCTTTGGGAGGCTGAGGTGGGAGGATCACTTGAGGCCAGGAGTTATAGGCTGCAGTGAGCTATGATTATGCCACTGGCCTATAGCCTGGGTGACAGAGCAAGAACCCCTTCTTAAAAAAAAAACAAAACTGTTATCTCCATTTTGTAAAGGAGGGAACCAACCCAGACGTGGTTTTTCTCAAGAGCATTAAAATTAGTAAGCCATTAAAATTGGTGGAGCTAGTTTTTTTTTTGTTTTTTGTTTTGAGATCGAGTCTCACTCTGTCACCCGGGCTAGAATGCCTGGAATGCACAATCTCGGCTCACTGCAACCTCCGCCTCCTGGGTTCAAGCAATTCTCCTGCCTCAGCGCCGCCCCCCCACCCAACAAAAGTAGCTGGAATTACAGGCATGTGCCACCACGCCTAATTTTTGTATTTTTAGTAGAGATGGGGTTTCACTATGTTGGCCAGGCTGGTCTCGAACTCCTGACCTAAGGTAATCTGCCCACCTCGGCCTACCAAAGTGCTGGGATTATAGATGTGAGCCACGGTGCCCCTGTGTGTGTTTTAATGACACATTTTGTATCTTCAGGCACACCTCACCACAAATTATTGTGAGCCACTGACTCCTACATGATGCCTTGGCTTAGATTCATTCATTCACCGTTTCACTCTCCGTGGGCACTTTGGAAAACCTGGAGGGAACAGCCACTGCACACAACCCTCCTAAGAGCAGGGGCGGCAAGGATTACTGGCCCCATTTCACACTGGAAGGAGCCTGTTTTCACGTCAGCCAGGGCAGCTCCCAGGCCCATGCCCCTGACTGCCCCACGGAGCTGCCAGGTGGGGAGAAAGGGCGAAGGGATGGAAGCCACTCGGCCAGCTTCTCAACTTGACTTAGTAAGAGCTGTGCTAGAACCATTAGAAAAACAGACATGAAAAATAGCAAAACCATCAAAAGCTGGAAGTGAGGAATAGGTAACTCTGCTGCTACACTATGAGAACATGTGTCTCCGCCAGGACACTCCAGAAAGGATGCTATTCTGTGACTCACGCCCCCATCCCATATGTGGTATAGTGGAGGCCCTACATCTAGGGCCATTGGGCACAATTCATCTGTCTCTTTTATTTTTATCTTTTTTCAGAGACAGAGTCTTGCTGCTCTGACACCCAAGCTGCGGTGCAGTGGTGCCATCCCAGCTCACTGCAACCTCTAATTCCTGGGCTCAAGTGATCCTTCCAAATAGCTGAGACCACAGGTGCGTGCCACCATGCTGAGAGGTGACAACGTGCTAGCAGCCCTGGCTCGCTCTCAGCACCTGCTCGGCCTTGGTGTCCGCTCTGGCCAAGATTGAGGAGCCCTTCAGCCTGCCGCTGCACTGTAGGAGCCCCTCCCTGGGCTGGCTGAGGCCTGAGCCTGCTCCCTGTGTTTGCCAGGAGGTGTGGCTTGCGAGATGTGGAGAGAGAGGCGCTGGGCGGGAACCGGGGCTGCTCACGGCGCTCGCGGGCCAGTGCGAGTTCCCAGCGGGCGCGGGTTCCGCACTGGGAGGGGCCGTCAGCGCTGCCGGCCCCAGGCAGTGAGGGGTTTAGCACCCAGGCCAGCAGCTGCAGAGGGGGCGCCGGGTCCCCCAGCACCGCTGGCCCGCTCTCGCCGCGCTCGAATTCTCTCCGGGCTTCAGCCACCTCCCGCGGGGCAGGGCTTGGGACCTGCAGCCCGCCACGCCCGAGTCCCCCGCAGTGGACTCCCAGGCGGCCCAAGCCTCCCCTAACGGGCGCCCCCCTCCTCCGCCGGCACCCGGTCTCATTAACTGCCCAAGGGCTGAGGAGTGTGGGCGCACACCGCCGGACTGGAGGGCAGCTCCGCCCACGGCCCTGATGGTGGATTCACTAGGTGAAGCCAGCTGGCTTCCTCAGTAGAGTTGGGACTCGGAGAACTTTTATGTCTAGCCGGAGGATTGTATATGTGCCAATCAGCACTCTGTCTACCTTGGGGTTCATGGGTGCACCAATCAGCACTCTGTATCTAGCTAATCTGGTGGAGATTTGGAGAACTTTTCTGTCTAGCTAAACGATTATAAATGCACTAATCAGCGCTCGGTGTCTAGCTCAAGTTTGTAAACACACCCATCAGCACCCTGTACCTAGCTCAAGGTTTGTAAATGCACCAATCAGCGCTCTGTGTTTAGCTCATCTAGTGGGAACTTGGAGAACTTTTGTGTCTAGCTAAAGGTTGTAAATGCACCAATCAGCACCCTGTGTCTAGCTCAAGGTTTGTAAGCGCACCAATCAGTGCTCTGTGTCTAGTTAATCTGGGGAGGACTTGGAGAACTTTTATGTCTAGCTAGAGGATTGCAAATACACCAATCAGCACTATGTGTCTAGCTCAGGGATTGTACATGCACCAAACAGCACCCTGTCAAAATGGACAAATCAGCTCTCTGTGAAACAGACCAATCAGCTCTCTGTAAAACAGACCAATCAGCTCTCTGTAAAACAGACCAATCAGCTTTCTGTAAAATGGACCTATCAGCAGGATGTGGGTGGGGCCAGATAAGAGTATAATAGCAGGCTGCGGGAGCCAGTACTGGTAACCAGCTGCAGTACTTTTTGTGTGGTGTGGAAGTGTTTGTTTTTTGCAATAGATTTTTGTTGCAGTTTAGGTTTGTATTTTCTTTGTTTTGTAGTGCTTATTATGAAGGTTCGTAGGTTTATGTCTGTAGGCCAGGCAGGTCATTAAACTTAACAAAGAATAAGTAAGTCGGGAGAGGGGAATAGAAATCTCCACATACATATTCTTAAAAGCTGTAACACTCACCACAAAGATCTGCTGAGTGAAGTCTGTGAGACGAACGCACCAAGTCTGGACGCTCTGTCAGGCTACATTTTACGTTTTTGGGAGTGAGCAGGTGTTATTCTGTTCCCCGGGTTGGTTTTGAAGTCATGGCTCTCAAGTAATTTTTGTGCTTCTCAAAAGTGCTGGAATTGCAAAGGTAAGCTACCTTTACCTTGTTATCCTCATCTTCTATTACTCCTTGTCATTTAGAGGGAAGGCACAGGTCCAGGGTTTCTTGGATTCTAAATTAAACTACTAGAAATGGGAGCTGAGCCTTGGGAAAGGAGGAGGCAGCAACTGCTGCCTATTTACATCCACATTCAACTTCACAAAGCAATTTCTGAAGCTTCTCTACTTCTCTGCTTCTCTGCTTTTCCACACCTCAGGGGAAAAAAAAAAGCAATAGTTACTCATCTCAAAAACATCCGTGTTATTCAGGAGGGGTTAAATTGTGCCCAGTCCACCCTGTTTTAGTGTAAAGGAGACAAGAGGAGAGAAAAAGCTTTAATTTCCTACAATTGCTAAGTAAACTGCCTGAATGGATTAGCTTATTCCTCATTCCATCAATTAGATTGGCATTATTGCTTCACTTTTACAGAATAGAGATGGAGGTTTCTAGTGCAGGGCGCCAAGCTAGTAAGGAATGAAGTCTGGGTGCAAACACAAATCTCCAAAGCTGATTCCAGCGTCCAAAAGAGAGGGTTGGTGGAAGTGGGGTCACTTATAAAAACTATAAAAAACTTTGGCTGGGCGTGGTGGCTCATGCCTGTAATCCCAGCACTTTGGGAGGCCGAGGTGGGCAGATCACGAGGTCAGGAGATGGAGACCGTTCTGGCTAATACGGTGAAACCTGTCTATACTAAAAATACAAAAAATTAGCTGGGCGTGGCAGCAGGCACCTGTAGTCCCAGCTACTGGGGAGGCTGAGGCAGGAGAATGGCGTGAACTTAGGAGGTGGAGCTTGCAGTGAGTCCAGATCGAGCCACTGCACTCCAGCCTGGGCGAGAGAGTGAGACTCCCTGTCTTAAAAAAAAAAAGTATAAAAATTTTTAAATGAAAAGTTTTCAAGTTTAGAGAGTCTTCAATCTGTAAAGTACACTTCTCAAAAGAAGACGTACATCGGGCCAAGAAACATGAAAGGAAGCTCAACATCACTATTGTTAAAGAAATGCAAATCAAAACCACAATGAGATACCATCTCCTCTCAGTCAGAGTGGCTATTGTTAAAAAGTCAAAAAACAACAGACGCTGGCGAGGTTGCAGAGAAAAAGAAATGCTTTGACACTGTTGGTGGGAGTGTAAATTAGTTCAACCACTGTGGAAGACGGTGTGGCAATTCCTCAAAGAGCTAGAGGCAGAAATACCATTTGACCCAGCAATCCCATTACTGGGTATATACCCAAAGGAATATGAATCATTCTATTATAAAGATACATATGCATGTGTGTTCATTACAGCACTATTCACAATAGCAAAGACATGGAATCAACCCAAATGATAGACTGATAGACCCATCAATAATAGACTGAAAAATATGGTGCATGTACACTATGGAATAGTATGCAGCCATAAAAAGGAATGAGATCATGTCCTCTGCAGGGACATGGATGGAGTTGGAAGCCATTATCCTCAGCAAACCAACACAGAAACAGAAAATCAAACACTGCGTGTTCTCACTTTTAAGTGGGAGCTGATTGATGAGAACACATGGACACATGGGGGAAAGTAACACACAATGGGCACCTATCGGGTGTAGGGGGAGGGGGAACATCAGGAAGAATGGTTAATGGATGCTGGGCTTAATACCTAGGTGATGGGATGATCTGTGTAGCAAACCACCATGGCATTCGTCTACCTAGGTAACCTGCACCTCCTACACGTGTACCCTTGAACTTAAAAATTGAAGAAAAAAATTTATAAAGTGCATTTTTGTACTACAGGTTAAGTATCCCTTATCTGAAATGGTTGGAACCAAAAGTGTTTTGAATTTCAGATTTTTTCAAATTTTTAAATATTTGCAAATACATAGTAAGATATCATGGGGAATGGGACCCAATTCTAAACACAAAAATTGGTCTTAGCTTTTCATATGTACCTTATACACATAGCCTGAGGGTAATTTTATATAACATTTTAAATCTGTGATGAAACAGTTTGTATTAGGGTTCTCACATGTGGAATATTCTACTTGTGGCATCGTGTTGGTGCTCAAAAAGTTCAGATTTTGGAGCATTTTGGATTTCAGATTTTTGTTGTTGTTGAGACGGAATCTCGCTCTGTCGCCCAGGCTGGAGTGCAGTGGCCAGATGATCTTGGCTCACTGCAACCTCCACCTCCCAGGTTCAAGAGATTCTCCTGCCTCAGCCTCCTGAGTAGCTGGGACTACAGGCACACACCACCACAGCCGGCTAATTTTTTTATTTTTAGTAGAGGCAGGGTTTCACCATGTCGGCCAGGCTGGTCTCGAACTCCTGGCCTCAGGTGATCTACCCGCCTCAGCCTCCCAAAGTGCTGGGATCACAGGCGTGAGCCACCGCACCTGGCCCTACTAAATTTTCAAAGACTTTTTCCACTTAGCTCTCTTTTCCTCTTCTGTTTTTTTCCCCCTTCACCTTCCATAATTAAACTCTCAGGGTCCAACAGAAGTCTGATTGCACTGTTTATTTTTACCTCCTTTTTTGTGCTTTCTCCTAAAGCAGGAGTCAGCCTTTTTCTGTGAAGGGCTAGATAGCAATTTTTTTTAAGCTTTATTTTCCATTTTTTAACTTTAAGTTCCGGGGTACATGTACAGAACGTGCAGGTTTGCTACATAGGTATATGTGCGCCATGGTGTTTTGCTGCAACTATCGACCCGCCATCTAGGTTTTAAGCCCCACATGCATTAGCTATTTGTCCTGAGCATCTCTTTTTTTTTTCTTGAAGGAAGGTTGCACATCAGACAGTGTTAGTAAAAATTCAACTCCAAATGTTTTGGGACTCAGTGACTGTGGTCTTTCCTCATGAGTTTGTCACAACCAGATATGGACCCACAGGGGTCAGGGAGGTAATTTTTTAAAAAGATCAACAAAGAGACAGCAATAATATGGCACCATCTGCAGGTTAACTTGTGAATTACAATGATTTGTGTTGCATGTAATGTACTAGCTCTTCATTTAACTTTCCTGCTGGGCGGTCATTTCAGATCAACATCAAAAGCTACAAACTGGAAACAGAGGAAGATACTAGCCCCGTGTTTCTGATTCAGTATCACTGAAATACTTTGGAACCATATAAAGGGCAAAGTACATTCCACATGTTGAAGGACAGTGCCTGGCCCTGTGGGGTGTCATCCCCAAGCTGTAGGCATAGTGGCAACCCAGGGGTTCATCTCAACTCCCATCAGGTCAGTAGCTTTTTGGGTGATGAAGTGTATGGTCGGGATCAGCAGGTCCCCTGGTTATGCGCCCCCTGCCTCACCTCATTCTCTTTAGAATGTCCTAGGCACTGTTACTCTGGATCCCATGTCAGTAAATCGGGTACTCAGTGACCCTTAGGAAAGGCTACTATGTAGTGGATCATTGTGATGTTCTGCACAAGGTCCCCAGAGTTTAAATCTCTTTATTGTATCATGACAGAGACATGAGAGTTAACTTAGCCCTGGGACAAAATTGTGAATGTGCATTGTGAACTGCAAAATAATAAGAATGAATGAAAATGTAAACTGGTTTGGATCATATTTCCTGATGGGGATAGAAAAGAACACAATCAAAATCAAATGCAAAATCAACGGCTGCATACCATGTACTTGAGCCTGCACACATCTCTTCCAGCCAGCGTGCCGTATCTGGCCCAATTTGGGTCTGCTACTTGGTTGAGTTGCATAATCTACTATCCCAAGACAAACCAGGATTCCTCATGATCCAGACTGGTTAATGAAATGGATGGCTTGGCACAGTGGCTCATGCCTGTAATCCTAGCACTTTGGGAGGCCAAGGCAGTTGGATCACCTGAGGTCAGGAGTTCGAGACCAGCCTGGCCAACAGGGTGAAACTGTCTCTACTACAAAAATACAAAAATTAGCTAGGCATGGTGGTGCACGCCTGTAGCCTCAGCTACTTGGGAGGCTGAGGGATGAGAATCGCTTGAACCTGGGAGGTGGAGGTTGCTGTGAGCCGAGATCATGCCACTGCACTCTACCCTGGGTGACAGAGCGAAACTCTGACTCAAAACAAATAAATGTAGATGTTACAAGGAGCACCAATCCACCATGTTTTCGATTCTTACGGGTAGCACCAATTTTGGCCATCTCCCTCCGTCTCCCTGTGTGCATCTCATAATGCCCTCTTCTCCATCCTCCCATTGTCCCCTCCTCCCCCCAGATGAAGTACACACAATATATCTCTTTTGTTTGCTATCTTGGCAGAGTGGATAGGGTCAATTTCAGAAATTTCTACTTGGCTTTCCCCATGGAATGCCCTCACCCCACAGGCCAAAGACCCAATGGGGAGGCTATGCCAACTTCTGAGAATATTTACCCCAGTTATACATTTGTGGACTGAGGCCATGACTGCCGGTGGGCCTGTAGTCTTACTGAATCCACTGTGAGCCACCATGCCATGGACAGGACTCCATGGATCACCTGGTCACCATGTGCCCCACAGAAGCAGAGTGCGGGCAGCTGCAATGCTGTGGCAGGTCTCAGGGTATCAATGTCACTTCTGACCCTGTTCTAACAGTCCTCCAAAATACTTCAAATACTTGAGTATTTCCCCTTCCCTGGTGAACAGTTCTGTGAGATCTTAGGTCCCCTTGCAGAAGGACTCAGGAAATCATGACTGTGCCCATTTGCCAGGGTGTTACAGGGTCTTTCTGTTAGATACCTGGCCCTCCTCCCAGTCAAGGGCTTCAGGGTTTGAAATCTGGCGCATATTCAGAAACTGGGCAGGTGGTCCTGACTTTTGTAGGAGCACCCATCCTTAGTCTGCTCATTATCCATCCTGGATTTCTTCCTATGACACAGGTTGAGAAGCACCCCTGTCTGCCTGTGTATTTTGCTGCTAGGGATGTGGTCCTCTATGAACTATCTCCATAGCTCTCTGTGGTCCAGGCTCCCTCAGCTGCTTTTCTGAGCTTTTCCCTGATTGCGGTCATGGCTTCCACCTGGCTTCTGAGGATTATGTGCCACCACGTAGTTCTCCTATTTTAGGGTCTTGTCATCCCACTTGCTATCAGTAAGCCCAGCTCTGTTGAACCCTTCCAACTGTCTGCCCAGGCTGGCAGAGTAGAGCCACCACTGAGCTTCCGAGTGATGTGGGTGCTTTACGTCTTGGTGGAGGATGTTTTCTCTGAGCCTTCCTGTGGAGCATAAATATCTGGTAAGTGATCTGGTCTTGGATGGCACTTCACTGATCATACACACCTCCCTGAGTCTTACAATCCCTTAATCCACTGTCTGACTTGGCACTTCTGACATTTTAACATTACCTAGCATGGGCATCCTCTTTTTCCATGGTCCGAAAGCCATCTGTACTAGCGTCTGTGGCTGCCGTAACAAATGACCACAAACTGGATGGTGTAAAAACAACAGAAACTGTTCTCTGACAGTCCTAGAGGTCAAGGTGTCATCAGGGCCACACTCCCACCAGGGCTTTAGGGGGAGAATCGGTTCCTTGCCTTTTCCAGCTTCTGGTGGTTTCCAGCATTCCTTGGCTTGTGGCCATATCACTTCAGTCTCTGCCTCTGCCTTCACATGGTCTTCCCCCTGTTCTCCATTATCTATCTATGTGTCTCCTATAAAAACACTTGTCACTGGATTTAGGGCCCACCCATATAATCCAGGATGATCTCATCTCAAGATCCTTAATTCTGAAAAGACCATTTTCCCAAATAAGGTCACCTTCACAGGTTTTAGGGATTAGGATGTGGACATTTCTTTTGGGTTTGCAGGGGGTGGGGTGGAGGGCACCAAACTCACTATGTCATCTTAGTTCCAAATGTACACCATCTCCTGGGGTCTTTACTCGGGGGTTAAATCCTATATCTTTGGCCAGGGCTCTCCAGTCAGTAGACTCTCCCCCATCCACATTTATGTTCTGGCCCCCTTGACCAAGTACCCCAAGAATCCAGTCTTATTCATACCCCCTGACACTTTTGGTACCTGTTAGCTGGGTCATCAGCTCTCTTTGAGTTTAAGCCCTTTCTTCCCTTATAAGGCCCAGTGCAACCTCAGCTGGGTGATGCTGGAATTTAAACCTATACTAGTATCCGGGAAAGAAGCTGGGGCTCATCCTGGGTGGAGGGCACAAGTGTCTTGAAGGGAAGAGGCCTCTGCATTGTCTTCAAGCAATGGGGCCGGGGGTGGGCTGGCTCTTGCTATGGAGGGATAGCCCACATTTGTGGGGTTGGAGGGTCTAGAGGAAACTAGAATTTCAAGGGGTAGGGCATCAACACAGATGTTTGCATCCTGTATTTCACAGTCCTGTTCTTCCCCAATCAGGGCCCTGAACTTGACACAGCAGATCTGGCATGGTTGGGAGTGTCACCTTCTTTGGTCTCAGATGATTAATTCTTAGCCCTGGTCCTCAGCTTTCTCTGGCCTCCCAATGCAAAAGAGAGTTTCTCTGTACACTTCCAAAGAGGTTCTCTGGCATTCATACTCAGATTTCAATTGCTTGGTAATTGCTTTCAACCTTTTGTTATCTTTTTCTAGAGTAAAAGGAGCTTAACTATATGGCCGTTCTCCAGGTTGCTGCTCTAAGCAACAGGGGCTGATTCCACCAGCACCTCTAAGAAGTGTACAGAATTCCTCCCAGCATTTGGGAGCTGGGGCACTTGTCATTGGCTCTCATCCTCTATCATGGGAAGATTGCCACCAGATGCATTAATTCCATGCATCTGGTGCACCATGGTGCACTTCGGAGGCTCGCATGATTTGGAGAAGGCAGAAAAGCAGAGTTGTAGAGCATAGGCTTGAGGCAAGCAGGCAGCTGAGCTCTCATGGAACTGTCTACCATAGCAGCAGCTGAAATTAGAGGCAAGCCCAGGGGCAGGAGGCAGTGTACCAGAATCTGCTGCTACTGCATGCACATTTCCAACTATTTTATCAATGTCAAATTTTAAACTTTTTATATCCACTTGTGTTCCTTTCCAGAGTTCAAACATTGAATTAGTTGTGCAATGGAAGGAGTATTACCAGGACCCAGATGCAGCCCAAGGAAAAAAGAAAACAAAAGGAGACACACACAGTAAGTGGTGTCTCATTGTGATTTGGATTTGCATTTCCCTAGTGATTAGTGATGGGAAACATATTTTCATGTGTTATTGGTCATTTGTTTATCTTCTTTGGAGAAATATTTATTCAAGTCCTCTGCTCTCTTTTTTTTTTTTTTTTTTAGTCAGAGTCTCGCTGTATTAGTCTGCTCTCACACTGCTCATAAAGACATACCTGAAGCTGGGTAATTCATAAAAGAAAGGTTTAATTGACTCACAGTTCCACATTGCTAGGGAGGCAAAGGAGGAGCAAAGTCACATCTTAAATGGCAGCAGGCAAGAAAGTGTGTGCAGGGGAACTTCCCTTTATAAAACCATCACATCTTGTGAGATATCCACTATCACAAGAACAGCACAGGAAAGACCTGCCTCTATGATTAAGTTACCTCCCACTGGTTCCCTCATGACACATGGGAATTATGGGAACTACAATTTAAGATGAGATTTGGGTAGGGACACAGCCAAGCTATATCACTTGCTGTGTTGCCTACGCTGGTCTCCAACTCCTGGGCTCAAGTGATCCTCCCACATTGGCCTCCCAGTAGCTGGGACTACAAGCTTGAGCCACTGCACCTCCTTTGCACATTTTTAAATCAGATAGTTTTGTTTTTGTTGTTGTTGAGTTGTAGGAGCTATTTATGTATTCTGGATATTAACACCTTATCAGATGTATGATTTGCAAACATTTTTTCCCCATTCCATTGGTTGCCTTTTCACTCTGTTGATTGTGTCCTTTGATGCCGAGAAGTTTCTAAGTTTAATGTAGTATAATTTATCTATTTTATGGCTGGGCCTGGTGGCTCACACCCGTAATCCCAGCACTTTGGGAGGTTGAGGTGGGTGGATTGCTTGAGCCTAAGAGTTTGAGACCAGCCTGGGCAACATGGCAAAACCTTGCCTCTACTAAAACACAGAAAAATTAGCCAGGTGTGGTGGCATGCATCTGTGATCCCAGTTATTCGACAAGCTGAGATGAGAGGATTGCTTAAGCCTGGCAGGTTAAGGCTGCAGTGAGCCATAATTATGGCAATGCACTCCAGTCTGGGTGACAGAGCAAGACCCTGTCTCAAACAAACAAAACATTTATCTATTTTATTTTTGTGGCTTGTGCTCTTGGTAACACAACCAAGAAATCATTGTCAAATCCAATGTCATTGTAAAGCTTTCCCTCTATGTTTTCTTCTAGAAATTTTATAGTTTAGGCCTTACATTTAGGTCTTTGATCTATTTTATGTTAATTGTTACAAACGGTGTAAGGTAAGGGTCCCACTTTCTTCTTCTGCATGTGGACATTCATGTTTTCCCAATATTATTTGTTGAAAAGACCCCTTTCTCCATTGAATGGTCTCAACACCCATGTAAAAAGTCATTCAATCATATAGGCAAGGGTTTACTTCTGGGCTTTCTCTTCTATTCCATTGGTCTATGTGTCTGTTTTTATGCCAGTACCACACTGTTTTGATTATTGTTACCATATATGACTGTCTAAAAAATTTTATGTATGTATAAAAATTTTTATGTATACATAAAATTTATACATACATAAAATTTTTTTTGAGACAGTCTTGCTCTGTTGCCCAGGCTGGAGTGCAGTGGCACAATCTAGGCTCAGCTCACTGCAACCTGCGCTTCCTGGCAAGCGATTCTCGTCTTGTAATATATTTTGAAATCAGGAAGTGTGATGCCTCCAGCTTTGTCCTTCTTTCTCAAGCTTATTTTGGCTATCCAGGGTCCCTTGAGAGTCCACATAAATTTTAGGATAAATTTTTAATTGGATTTTTTAATAGGGATTACATTGTTTGCTTAATGTAATCATAATGCATATGATTTTCTTATGCCCCCAACAAATATGAAATCATAGTCATAATCATTTGCTAAATGATTACATTAAGATTGTTTTGGGTAGTGTTGACATTTTAACAAAACTAAGTCTTCCAATCATGAGCACAGATGTCATTCCATTTATTTGTGTCTTCTTTAAGTGCTTTCAGCAATGTTTTAAAGTTTTAGCGTACAGTCTTTTGTCTTCTTGGTTAAGTTTATTTCCAAGTATTTTATTCTTTTTGATACTATTGTAAATGAAATTGCTTTTGTAATTCCCTGCAGCCTCTTTCATGCTCTGAGCAGAACTGCATTGCATACAATCAATCACCTACACTCACAGGCAAGAATGTACTACTATTGTAATAATGTAAATTTTTCTAAAATCACAAAATGGAAAATGCATCTTATTTGCTTTTAACGTTTTAGCAGATGATGTGGTCAAGTAAATAAATAAAAGGAGAGAAAGAGAAGTTCTGTGTGTGTGTGTGTGTGTGTGTGTGTGTGTGTGTGTGTGTGTCTGTCTGTCTAAGATCCTTTTGTTGTTTGCTTTGGCCTAGTTTCTTATGCTTTGAGGAAAAGCTCATTCTCATTCATGTGACTTGCTTTGGCTAATAGGACACCAGAGCATGATGCAAGTGTGGCTTAATCGGTGCTTGCACATTGGGCTTGTTCTTTCCAAACCTGTTGCCCCGATTCTGCAAGGCTATCCTGCTGTAGAAGGAGGCCCTGGAGGACAAGACACCATGTGGGGAAAACAGCCATGGGGAGCAGAACCGAGGTATCCCAGCTTAGCTCCCAACTGACAGCAGCCACATGAGTGAGCAGAAAAACAACTTCCAAGGGTGATTTAGCTACTGCTGCTGTGGAATGTCAAAACTTTCAGCAAGGGAGCCCGATGCAGATCTGTTGATATGACACCATTCCACAAGAAGACCAACTGATGGCTTTGTGGCAAGTTGACTACACTGGGCTGTTTCTATTCTGGGAAGACAGAGATTTGTTCTAAGAGGAATAGGCATGTGTTGCAGGCATAGGTTGACCTTTCCTGCCATGGAGCCTCCTCTGGTACCACTATTTGAAGGTTGAAGGAATGTTGATTCACCAGGATTGAGTCAGACCAGCCAAGCCTATGACCATGATGTCAACTGACTGTATCACCTGTCACATCATCCAGAAGCTACAGACTTATAAGGCATTGGAATAACTTGTAGATGGCCCCGTTAAAGTACCAGCTTAGAGGCAACACTCCATGAGAATGAGACATCATCTCCAGGATGGCACATACACATTGAATCACACAGCATTGATAAGGAGATGGCTCCCCAGTAGGAAGAATATATTGGTCATGAACCAAGGGATGAAGCAGAAGTGTCTTGCTTCCTGTCCCTGCAGCCTCTCTTTCTGCAGTGCTAGAAATCCTGGTCAAAAGGGGGCATAATTTTATCAGGGGACACAGCAAAAGTCTCCACTACATTGCAGCTATGCCTGCTGCCTGGGGATTTTGGGCTTCTTATAATTGGGACCAGCAATAAAAGAGAAGAGTCACAGTCTTGGCAGGGCTAATTGACCCTGATCAGCAGGAGAAGAAAGGCTGTGGTTCCACTATGAGGGTAGGGAAGACGTGTGGCACCACTGATCCACTTTTGCAACCCATGGTACTCCCGTGGCCAGTTGTGATGACAGACAAGTGCAGGAACACTTTTGGGAAGGGCATGGTGGCCAGAGTTCAGACCCCATGGGAATGAGGACCAGGGTCACACCACTGGATAAGCCAGGAGGTAAGCTGCAGAGGTGAGGGGGAATCTAGACTGGGGATTAGGGGAGGAAAATGAAAAGTATCAGTCATTGCCCTGAGACCAGCTGCAGCAGCAGGTGTTGTAGCTTGTGCTTCTAAGCCATCTACTTTTACATTTCCTCCAGGAAGAGAGGCCCACTGGAAGGCTGGAGGAGCTGCTCCCCAGATGTAGATGAAGTAGATTTGAGCAGCACAGTGGTGGACCTAGTAGAGGCGGACATCAAGATCCTCTTCAAGGAAAGATTATCAATATAGTTTTCCCTGACCCAGGTGCCATGTGTTTTCTGTCATATTCACGTATGCTAATACATAATTGTGCAAGTGGGGTAATATCTGGGACACTTCATGGTTCATATCAAAACACAGAGTGAAGAGAACATCCTCTGGGCCATCTCAGAGTGTGAGTTTGGGGCGGGGGTGGCTCCTGGTTAACATTTCTGTCCACTGCAGCATTCCTTTTCCCTTTTGCTTTTAGATTCTTCCCTTGACATCACACCAGGAAAGTCTGACAACTTAACTTTATTGGATATAGGCAACCGTTGAATCCAAGTTTTGCCCACTGAATCCATCAAATTGTTACAGCCAATTCTAGATGCCTGAGTGGACACATGAAATCCAGATTCCCCAGTAAGCGCATCCCCATTAATAAACTGACCAAATGCAATGTTAATCTGTTCTATAACCTTTAGAATCCATCCCAACATATATTTTTTAGGTTCCTGCCAAGATATGTTAGCAAAAGCTTGCAATTTTTTGAAAAATGAATTATCTCTTCCTGGGACATGTGTTGTACTTTTCTCTCTGAAATAGGCTGAGCTCTGACTCCATTAAAAGTCTGAAAGCAATGAAGAGTGAAGGAGCGGATATTGGGGAGAATAGGCATCCTCTTGCAAGATAACTGCCTCAAAGTCATTATAAGGTTTTCAAGCAAGAGAAAGCTAATTTCCTTACACATATGAAGAAGCGTTGCTTCTCCTGGCAAGAAATACACAGTGAATCAGGGATTCAAAATTCTTAGCTTTATCTAAGTTTACCCAGATGTGTCTATCCTTCCCAATCAGTGCTCTTGGCAGGAGACTTGGCAAGTCTGCGAAGTCAACTTATGTTATAATTCTGCAACCCACACAAGTTCTTATTTTCAATGAGGGTAACCTTGCAGCCACACAAAATAGCAAAATTTTTTAAGGAGTACCATAGACACACTCTGGTTCTCTGTGTTCAGTGTTTTAAGCCTATCTTTTTGTTCCCCTGTAAGCTCTTCAATGTAGTCCAAAATACACCATCTGTGGTAGGCAGAATTCTAAGAAGGTTCCAAAGATTCTCACCCATGGTGTAGAGAACTTGTATAATTTTCTCCCCTAAAGTGTAGGTGGAGCCCGTGAATAGGATGGGATATTAATACCATGATTGTGTTATATTTTGAGACAAAAAAAATTTTGTAGATGTAATTAAAGGTACTAATCAGTTGACTATGAGTTTATCAAAAGGGAGATCATCCAGGTGGGCCTGACCTAATCATATCAGCCCTCTAAATCCTGGTCTATGGGTCAGAGAAAGAGGAAGGCAGAGATTTAAAGCATGAGAGAAATTCAAAGCAAACTAGATTCTCCATTGCTGTCTTTGAAGACAGGCAGCCATGTGGCAAGGAATGTGGGTAGCCGATAGTGGCCGATGACAGCTCCCAGCCCACACTTCAAGTTTAGCCTCGTAGGGCCCTGAGCAGGGGACACAACTATACTGCATTTACAACCTACAGAACTGTGAACTGATAAATGGGTGTTTTGTTTGTTTTGAGATGGAGTCTCAGGCGCCCAGGCTGGAGTGCAGTGGTACAATTTTGGCTCAGTGCAACCTCCACCTCCTGGGTTCAAACGATTCTCCTGTCTCAGCCTCCCAAGTAGCTGGGATTACAGGTGCCCGCCACCATGCCCTGCTAATTTTTGTATTTTTAGTAGAGACAGGGTTTCACCATGTTTGCCAGACTGGTCTTGAACTTCTGATCTCAAGCGCTCCACCTGTCTCGGCCTCCCAAAGTGCTGGGATTGCAGGCGTGAGCCACCGTGCCCAATGTGGGTGTTGTTTTAAGCTGCCAAGTGTGTGGTACTTCATTATCTAGCAAAGAAAAACTAATACAACAGTCCACAGCCCTGGTAGTAATCATTACTAACGAAGTGGTCAAGTGCAGCAGCTAACTGGTCTCCTAATAGTTGCTTTATTAGGCATTTCATCACAATCACTAGAGGTGATACTGCAATTAATCATAATGCTATGGCATGACATGCATTACTGTCCCATTTGCAAGGAGCTCAGCACTCTTTTTAAGGCAAGTGGCATTTCCAAGCTAATCCCAGAATCTCTTTTTTTTTTTATAAAGATGGGGTTTTGCTATATTGCCCAGGATGGAGGCTCTTTGCAGGCACGATTATAGTGCACTTCAGCCTTGTATTAGTCTATTCTCACATTGCTAGAAGGAAATACCTGAGATTAGGTAATATATATATGTATATATATATATATAGAGAGAGAGAGAGAGAGAGAGAGAGGGGTTTAATTGGCTCACGGTTCCACAGGCTGTACAGGAAGCATGATTCTGGCATCTGCTTGGCCTCTGGGGAGGCCTCAGGAAACTTACAATCATGGCGGAGGGCAGCAGGGTTGCCAACACTTCACATGGCTGGGAGCAAGAGGAAGAGGTGGTGGGGAGGTGCCGTGCATTTTTAAACAACCAGATATCACTCACCTTCCAATACCAAGGGGCAGTGGTGTTAAACCATGAGAAACTGTCCCCATGAAGAAATCATCTACCACCAGGCCCCACCTCGAACACTGGAGATTACAATTTAACATGAGATTTGGGTGAGGACACAGATCCAAACCATATCAAGACTCAAACTCCTGGCTTCAAGCAATACTTCTGTGTCAGCTTCCTGAGTAGTTAGGACTACAGGCACATGTCACTCTGCGTTACAGTATTTTTTTTTTTTTTTGGAGACAGAGTCTCACTCTGTGGCCCAGGCTGGAGTGCAGTGGCACGATCATGGCTCACTGCAACCTCCACCTCCAGGGTTCAAGCGATTCTCATGCCTCAGCCTCTTGAGTAGCTGGGTCTGCAGGTGTGCACCACCACATCCGGCTAATTTTTGTGTTTTTAGTAGAGACAGTGTTTCTCCATGTTGGCCAAGCTGGTCTCGAACTCTGATCTCAAGCCATCCACCTGCCTCAGCCTCCCAAAGTGCTGGGATTATAGACTCTCATTTTTGATAGTCTTGTTTCCTAGAACCTCTCCCGGTAACAAGCACTGTGTCAGGGTTGAATCAGGAAAGAAGAAACCACATAATGTTATTTCAATGGAGGGAATTCACTAAAGGTAATTGGTAACACGTGTTGAAGAGCGGAACAAACAAACATCAAACAAAATGAAATAAAGCACCATGCTAATATAAAATAACTTCTTCCCTTAAGGGTTAGAAGTTATTCTAAGGGTTAGAATAACTCTTCCCTTAAAGAGAAGAGTCTGGAGTTATTGGAACTGAGAGACTTGGTGGAGGAGGCAATCACGGGTTGAGGAGTAGTCTCCAAAAATTGACATCTACCTGGAACCTTTGAAAGTGACCTTACTTGGAAATAGGGTCTTCGCAGATGTAATCAGGTTAAGATGTTCTACTAGGCCAGGCGCGGTGGCTCACGCTTCTAATCCCAGCACTTTAGGAGGCCGAGGTGGGTGGATCACGAGGTCAAGAGATAGAGACCATCCTGGCCAACATGGTGAAACCCCGTCTCTACTAAAAATACAAAAATTAGCCAGGCCTGGCGGGCGCCTGTAGTCTCCTGTAGTCCCAGCTACTCCGGAGGCTGAGGCAGGAGAATCACTTGAACGCGGGAGGCGGAGCTTGCAGTGAGCCGAGATCGCACCAGGGCACTCCAGCCTAACGACAGAGTGAGACACCGTCTCAAAAAAAAAAAAAAAAAAAAGATGTTCTATTAGATTAGAGTGTGCCCTAAATCCAGTGACTTGTGTTCTTATCAGAAGGCCATGGAAAGACACAGAAGACACAAGGGGAAGGACATGGTGCGAAGACAGAGGCAGAGAGCTTGGAGTATTGCAGCTACAGGCCAAGGAACGCCAGAGATTGCTGGCAACCACAGAAGCCAGGAGAGGCGAGGAAGGATTCTTCCCTGGACCCTTCACAGGGAGCACGGCCCTGCTAACATGTTGATTTCTGACTTCTGGCCTCCAGAGCTGTGAGCGAATACATTTCTATTGTTTTAAATGACACCATCTCTGATCATTGGTTACGGCGGCCCCTAGGAAGCTAATACATGGCCCTATGAAGCTGGGGCTCAGACCTCCGAGAAGGGCACACGGCTGCTGCTGATCTGTTTAGGGGGAGCAATGACGTTAGCGCTGAGGGGAAACGGAGGCTGGAACCAGCTGCTGCTGAGGGGGAAGCGCCATTGCAGGGACAGCGCTCAAACCAGAAAAAGGCAGTCCTGCCCTCCTCCTCCTGCCTTCAAATCTCCGCCAGAATAGAACCCAAGCCAGCCGGCAAGGCAGAAGCGCAGCTGTGGAGCTCCCAGGTGCAATGTCGCAGAGCAAAGGGAGTGTGCGCTGGGGGCCGAGAAGCAGCAGTAAGGTGTGGTGCGAGGTGCCTTTGTGTTTGTGGGGATGAGGAGTTGGGTTGTGGGATGTGGAAGAAGAGTTTGCTTGCAGAGATACTAGTTTAAAAAGAAAAGAGTTTGCTGGACTACTGAGCAGGGCTGATTCGACTCCACAAATATTCTGCCTCCGAGGCTAGAGAAAAGGGGGCTCAGGAACCCCAGGGAGAAAAGTTGATGCTGCAAAATGATCTAAGAACAAAGGTGCAAAAACATTTAAATGTGTACTTCCGAAAGACAAGTAATAATTAGAAGAACACCACTACATTAAAAACATTTATAACAGAAGTATTGGCTGCAATATTTGAGTATTACATCTTTTTTCCTTGGGTTTGTCTGTAGCTTGAGCTCTGCAAGGATGATTTCCACCAGGTGGAGCCGTGGAGCAGGCGACCTCAGTGCCTGTGGCTCTCTTCCACCCTTAAATCGCCCCTCCCCCACCCCACCTCCAGACCCCTCAGCCCCCTCAAGCAGCTCCTGCTCCCTCCTCCCCTCATTCAGACCTCTGCTCAGATTTGTCTCTGTGGACGGCACCTCTTCTGACCTTTTCCTTGGCCCACCTGATAACCTGGTTTTCAATCCTGGTTGATTAATTGAATAACATAAACCATTGCAAGTGCAAAAATCGCAGCTACTATTTTTTTAATCAACTACTATGTGCCAGAGCTACTATGTTCCATTGTCACAAGTCTATTTTTTAATTTTATTCATTTTATTTTATTTTATTTTTGAGGCAGAGTCTCATTTTCTTCCAGGCTGGAGTGCAGTGGCATGATCTCAGCTCACTGCAACCTCCACCTCCCAGGTTCAAGCAAGTTTTCTGCCTCAGCCTCCCGAGTAGCTGGGATTACAGGCACGTGCCACTACACCTGGCTAAATTTGTATTTTTAGTAGAGACCAGGGTTTTGCCATGTTGGCCAGGCTGGTCTCGAACTCCTGACCTCAGGTGATCCTCCCACCTCAGCCTCCCAAAGTGCTGGGATTATAGGCATGAGCCACCGTGCATGTTATCAGCTGACAGTGACAGCTGACAGGAGGATGGGTGTTTACAGGCTTGGGGAGGAATAAGTGATGAAATAATTTTCTAGGAAACAGGGAGAATGAACAAGGCCCACATAGGTGAGTGACCACAAATTTAAAACATTCTGCAGGGTTGGATGCTTTTCTATAGGGACAAGCGTGGAACAGGCAGAGTTGGATTTCATCAGGGTTGTGGTGGAGCCGCCTGAAGTGACGGAGAAGAGAGGGCAAGAGAGCTCAGGGTTCAAGCAAGAAGTCATGATAATAACTGACCACAGAGTTTAGCTGAATAAGAAGGGAAGAACGGATATGGTAGCATTGAAAGAAGCAAAATGGTGATAGGATCATAAGTGAAGTCCCAATGGGGTCAAAGTATTGTTGGAGTTGGAGAAATGAGAGGGAGAATGCCAAGATGGTGGTGAGGAGGAGAGTGAGTTGTGGCAATTGATGTTATGTCAGGGTTGTTGTTACTTGGTTGCAACGTCAAGGATATGACCACAGAAGTGAGCCGCTGAGGTAGGGCGGACAAGGGGGTCATTGGAGGAGAGGTCGTCTAAGTGGACATTGAAATCACCAGGAATTGGGGCAGAAGTGTATTGCCTAGAGTGGCAGTGTATCTCTGCAAGGAATGGGGGTGTGACCCCAGAAGATGACTGCTTACGAAGTGGAAAAATGTGTGGAAGAGTCTGATAATGGCGTGAGATTTGTAGCTGGATGTATCTGTGAAGATGAAAGGGAAGATGGTTTGAAGCAGTGATGAGGAATGAGGAAGAGACCTACTCCACCCCTAGTTTCAGTGGCACAAAGGTTATAGGAGAGAAAACACCATTTGAGATGCTCAGGGAAGGCCGAGTCCCAGGGAGCCAGGTTTCAGTGAGAAGAAGACGACAGGGAGGTCCCGGATAAGTTTATCGAAGGCTCTCACATTCTCCGCCAAATGACAGCCTGTAGGGGGTTGTTCAGACAAAGCTTTTCAGTTGATTCAGCAAACACAGTCATCTGACCAGTAATAAGAGGTGTCTTTTTTTGTTTTGTTTTTGGCTTAAGCAACAGAAGTTTATTTTCTCACAGTTCTGGAGGTTGGTAAAGAGTAAAGTGATCACAAGTGCCACAAGCTCCCACCAGCACACTAACCTCTGTGCCCATATACGCTCCCTTCTCCCTTGCTGGTGTGGATGAATTGACCCTCTTCCCAAAGCCCGTGATCCCATCCAACCTTCTCCTACTCACGGACATCACTCTAGCAATTCTGTCCCTCCCCTGTGCTATAAAATTTCCTCTTGTTACCATATTATACTAATCCTCATAAAGCATACTCTTATTTCCCCCATCCCAAAAACGATTCCTTCCTGACTCCACTTACCCCTCCGTCTGCTACCTCATCTATCACCTTCCTTTTATAGCAACATTCTTTCAAAATGATGTGTCTAGGTACTGCTTTCAGTTTATGTTTTCTCATTCATTAACGCATTCCAAAGAGGTTCTTTCTCTTAACACTACTGACAAGTTTTTGTTTGTTTGTTTTGTTTTGTTTTGAGACGGAGTCTCTCACTGTTGCCTGGGCTGGAGTACAGTGGCGTGATCTCGGTTTACTGCAAGTTCAAGTGATTCTCCTACCTCAGCCTCCCAAGTAGCTGGGATTACAGGCACCGGCCACCATGCCCGGCTAGTTTTTTGTATTTTTAGTAGAGACAGGGTTTCACTATGTTGGCCATGCTGGTCTCAAACGCCTGACCTTGTGATCCACCCGCCTCAGTTTCCCAAAGTGCTGGGAGGCGTGAGCCACCGCGCCCAGTGAGTTGTTTTTTTGACAGAGTCTCATTCTGTCACCCAGGCTGTAGTGCAGTGGCGTGATCACGGCTCACTGCAGCCCCAACCTCCTGGGCTCAAGCGATTCTCCTATCTCAGCCTCCCACGTAGCTGGGACTACAAGCATGCATCACCATGCCCAGCTAATTTTGTTTATTTTTTGTGGAGACGGGATCTCACTCTGTTGCCCAGGCTGGTCTTGAACTTCTGGGCTCAAGCAATTTTCCCACCTTGGCTCCCAAGTGCTGGGATTACAGGCATGAGCTACCGTGCCTCGGCAGAATGGTTTTTGTTTTCTTTGTTTGTTAGTTTTTAAATCAAGGTCACCGATGACCTCCACATTGCTCATTTTAATTGTTATTCCTAGCAACTCTCAATGGCATTTGAAAGTTAATCTCCTCTCGCTCTCTCTCTCTTCCTTAGAAAACTTACCTTACTTGGTTTCCAGACATCATATTTTCCTGATATTTATCCTACCTTTCTGGATGCTCCCTCTTAGTCTCTCTTGCGGGGTCCTCCTTATCTCTCATGAACAGAATTAGTGCCTTATAAAAGTGGCTTAAGGGACCTCCCTTGGCTCTTCTGCCATGTAAGGACACATAGAAGGCACCATCTGTGTAATAGACAGAGACCTCAGCAGATACGGAATCTGCCAGTGCCTTGATCTTGGACTCCCAGCCTCCAGAACTGTGAGCAATCCATTTCTGCAGTTTATAAATCACCCAGGCTGAGGTCTTTTGTTGTGGCCGCCCAAATGGACTAAGTCCCAAGGGCTCAGATTTTGGAGCTTTCTTCTATCCATGTTTTCTCCGTAAGTCATTTCATCCATTTCCATTCTTATGACTTTAAATTCCAAAAATAAGCTGACATTTATTGAGCAGGCTAATAGAAGGGGACTAAATGAGGGTATGGATACCAGGAGACTAGAAATAATGGGGGACTGCAAGTTTTTTTTTTTTTTTCCAGACATGGTCTTGCTCTGCTGCCCAGGCTGGAGTGCAGTGATGCGATCATGGCTCCCTGCAGCCTCCAACTCCTGGGCTCAAATGATCCTCCCACCTCAGCCTCCTGAGTAGCTGGAACTACAGGCATATACTGCCACCATGCTGGACTAATCTTTCTTTCTTTCTCCCTCCCTCCCTCCTTTCTTTCTTTTCTTTTCTCTTTTTCTTCTCCTTCCTTCCTTCCCCTCTTTCTTTCTTTCTCTCTCCTTCCTTCCTTCCTCCCTCCCTTCCCTCCCCTCCCTTCCCTTCCTTCCCTCCTTCCCTCTTTCCGTCCTTTCCTTCCTTCCTTCCCTCCTTCCTTCCTTCCTACCTTTCCTTCCTACCTTTCCTTCCTTCCTACCTTTCCTTCCTTCCTTTCCTTCCTTTTCCCTCCTTCCTTCCTTCCTTTCTCTTTCTTTCTCTCTCTCTTTCTCTCCTTCCTTCTATTCTCCTTCCCTCCCTCTCTCCCTCCTTCCCTTCCTTCCTTCCTTTCTCCTTCCCTCCCTCCCTCCTTTCTTTCTCTTCCTTCCTTCCTTCCTTCCTTCCTTCTTTCTTTCTTGATGGTGTCTTAATATATTGCCTAGACTGGCCTCAAACTCCTGGCCTTAACTGATCCTCCCACCTTGGCCTCCAAAAGCACTGGGATTACAGGTATCAGGCACCATGCCTGACCTGCAGGAGCCATCTTGACATCTGCTTTATGGTATTGTAAACATCTTCAGCTTGTGTCCTGGTAGATATAATGAGAGTTAATAAAAGAGCAGTGAGTAAGTAGAATCACTCTTTGTAGATTTTTTAAGTGCTTGTTTCTAATGCTTCTACTCAGAATATAATCTCCATAATAGCAAGCACCATATCCTGTCCACTGAATCCCCTGTGACTACAGCAGTCCATTGTAGCTGCCCAGTGCAAATTCATTGAATGAATAAATGCTCATGGTGAAAAAATGCTCACAAAGGTTACATCCATCATTAGTGCTTTGTTTTCCATCCAAATAGAGGAGAACAGAATCACAGATAATAGGCAAACTACAGGCCGGGGGCGGTGGCTCACACCTGTAATTGCAGCACTTTGGAATGCTGAGGTGGGCAGATCACCTGAGGTCAGGAGTTCGAGACCAGCCTGGACAACATGGCAAAACCCCGTCTCTACTAAAAATAAAAGAAAGAAAGAAAGAAAAAAAAAGTAGCTGGGCGTGGTGACATGCACCTGTAATCCCAGCTACTCGGGAGGAGGCTGAGGCAGGAGAATCATTTGAATCTGGGAGTTGGAGGTCGCAGTGAACTGAGACTGTGCCATTGCACTCCAGCCTGGGCAACAAGAACAAAATTCCATCTCAAAAAAATAAAAAATAGACAACTACAACTAATTTATTTATATTAGTGGCTTCAATTTTGAGGAGTATTGCGTTAAGAATGGCTTAGCCCAGGGCCCTTAGTGAGTCTCCCACACTGTGTCAGTTTACTGATGATTACTGAAAATAGAGCAATCCAAAGACAGCGCAGCAATTATAAGTTACTGACAAACTCCCGTCACTCATCACTGGTGAAGAGCACCACCAAATTCACCAGATAAGCATCAACATTTTTTTTCTTTTTTATGTGGAAAGAAAGTATAACCTACAGAAAAGTTGGAGGAATAGTCCAACAAACACCCACATACCCTTCATTTAATTGTACTCCGTGTTGGTTGCAAACACCAGGATACTTCATCCCTAAATACTTCACATGTATCTTGTGAGATTAAAAATTTCTTTCTGACATAAAACATTATCACATCTAAGAAAATTAATGTTGGGGGGGCGGGTCTTCGGTTTGCACAGCTAGAGGCCATGCAGCAGCAAAGGATGAGCAGAACCTTGGAAAAAGTGCTGTGCCTGAGGAACAATACCACTTTTAAGCAAGGCTTTTCACTCTTAAGGCTTAGAACTTCAGCAGAGAAGCCCATCTATTCTGTAGGTGGCATTCTACTAAGTACTAGTCGGCCCTACAAGACAAAGCCCACCCACGCCATTGGAAAGTACAAGCACCTAATTAAAGCAGAAGAGCCCGAGAAGAAGCAAAAAGTGGAAGTGAAACTCATTAATTTGGGGACAGATGATGAATATGGGGTTTTAAACATTCACCTGCCTGCATATGACATGACCCTGGCAGAGAGTTATGCCCAGTATGTTCACAACTTCTGCAACTCTCTCTCCATTAAAGTCGAGGAAAGTTATGTGATGCCAACCAAAACCACTGAAGTGTTGTGGTTGCAGGACCAAGGCAGCAAAACGTTCCTGGACTCAGTGCTTACCACCCATGAGCGAGTGGTTCACATCAGCAGTTTGAGTGCTACGTTTGCAGAGATTTTCTTGGAAATAATCCAAAGCAGTCTTCCTGAAGGAGTCAGATTGTCGTTGAAGGAGCACACTGAAGAAGACTTCAAGGGAAGATTCAAAGCTCGACCAGAACTGGAAGAACGGTTGGCCAAGTTGAACTAGCTACTGTAGACGCTTTCATGCCAGCACTGGTCATATTGCGTGCCAAGGAGAAGAGCTTACTGGGTGGTCAGAGTTCGTCAGGAGACCTGACCCTTAGATTTCATAAGTGCCCATTCCCATACCCAGTAATGCCTTCACTCCTCTGTAGCATGGCTGTACTTGCCATTTGTTACTGCTTACCTAACCCTTGTTATCCTCCATCTAATACAAATCTGCTGCTAACATGTATTTTAAAAAAAGAAAATTAATGTTAATTCAATATCCTATGATAAAATAGTTCCTATTTATATTTTCCTAATTGTTCCCAGAATGCCCTTAATAGCTGTTTTTTTTGTTTTTTTAAAACCATTGTGGAAGTCAGTGTGGCGGTTCCTCAGGGATCTAGAACTAGAAATACCATTTGACCCAGCCATCCCATTACTGGGTATGTACCCAGAGGATTATAAATCGTGCTGCTATAAAGACACATGCACACGTATGTTTATTGCGGCACTATTCACAATAGCAAAGACTTGGAACCAACCTAAATGTCCAGCCAGCAATGATAGACTGGATCAAGAAAATGTGGCACATATACACCATGGAATACTATGCAGCCATAAAAAATGATGAGTTCATGTCCTTTGTAGGGACATGGATGAAGCTGGAAACCATCATTCTCAGCAAACTATCGCAAGGACAAAAAAACCAAACACCGCATGTTCTCACTCATAGGTGGGAATTGAACAATGAGAACACATGGACACAGGAAGGGGAACATCACACACCACACCAGGGACTGTTGTGGGGTGGGGGGAGGGGGGAGGGATAGCATTAGGAGATATACCTAATGCTAAATGACGAGTTAATGGGTGCAGCACACCAGCATGGCACATGTATACATATGTAACAAACCTGCAGGTTGTGCACATGTACCCTAAAACTTAAAGTATAATAATAAAAAAATGAAAAACAACAACAACAACCACCACCACCACCACCCAGGATCCAATTAAGGTTCAAGTGCTACTTTGGTCTATGTGTCTTTAGTGCCTTTTAATTTAGAACAATCTCCTCAGATTTTTTTCATGGTACTGAAATATTTTGAAGCATCCAAGACAGTTGTTTCATAAAATGTCCCACATTCTGGATTTGTCTGATGGTTTCCAAGTGATTTAACCTTTATTTATTTATTTACTTTTTAGCTTTGTTAAGAGTGTTGAACAGGTGATGTTGAGTATCTTATTGAATCACACCAGAAGTGAACAATGTCACCTTTTTTTTTTCATATTGGTGACACTAAGCCTGATCACTTGGTTAAAGTGAATACTTAAATTCTTTTTATATTCATGAAACATATTTCCTTCCTCTCTCTTCCTTCTGTTTTCAGGAACCCTACAGTCACCAAGCACTCATATCTGACAAATCAGCATTTATCTTTTTACCTTCCTGGCATCTGGCCCATCCAGTCCTCACTCCTCCAACCCCCTCTGCTGCACTAGGCTCAGGTTATAAGGTCCAGATCCAGACAAAAGTGACTGCATCTTGTAAAGGACCCCAGCACCCCTTGGGCTTTGCCTGAGTGTTGTAATTGGCATGACTGTGCTGGAGAGCACGCCTTGTCTTGGCCCTGGGGACCTGAGCACAAATTCTCTTTTTAAGATGTGTGTGTTAGGCTCTCCAAAAGATATCCACATCTTAACCCTGGACCTGTGAGTGTTACCTTATATGGCAAAAAAAAAAAAAAAAAAAAGACTTTACAGATGTAAAGTTAAGGATCTTGGGATGAGGCAATTATCCTGGATTCTCTAGGGGTATCCTAAATGCAATCACAAGTGTCTTTATAAGACAGAGGCAGAGGGAGACTTCACACAGACAGAAGAGGAGGAAGCCGTGTGACCTTGGAGGCAGACATTGGAGCCATGCGGCTCCAAGCCACAGAATTTTGACAGCCAGAAGAGGCAAGGAATGGATTCTCTCCTGGAGCCTCTGGAGGGACTGTGGCCTTGCTGACTCCTTGATTTCAGACTTCTCATCTCCTGCACCGTGAGAAAGTGCACAGTAACGTGCTACAGCAGCAACAGGAAACGGATATAGTAAGTGAAGAATTTGAAAAGAAAATTGAGACTTGGGATTGAATTTTGATTTTGTTATTTGCTAGTAGTGTAATTTGGGGCATATTGCTTGATTTCTCTCTCAGGCTTTTTTTTTTTTTTTTTTTTGAGATGGATACTCGCTCTGTCACCCAGGCTGGAGTGCAGTGGTGTGATCTCAGCTCACTGCAACCTCTGCCTCCCGGGTTCAAGCAATTCTGCCTCAGCCTCCCAAGTAGCTGGGATAGCAGGCGCCACCATCATACTTGGCTAATTTTTGTATTTTTAGTAGAGGCAGGGGTTTTCACCATGTTAGCCAGGCTGGTCTCGAACTCTTGACCAAGCCTTCTGCCCGTCTCTGTCTACAGGTTTGAGCCATGGTGTCTGGCCTTCTCTCAGATTTTTTTTTTTTTTCAAAATGGGGATAATAGACATTATTTATTTATTTATTTATTTATTTATTTATTTATTTATTTAAATTTTAGAGATAGGGTCTGGCTCTGTTATCTGAGCTGGAGCGCAGTGGTACAATCATAGCTCACTGCAGCCTCAACCTCCTGGGCTCAAGTGATCCTCCCACCTCAACCTCCCAAGTACCTGGGACTACAGGTGTGCACCACCACACTCGGCTAATTTTTGTATTTTTTTTTTTAATTTTGTAGAGATGAGGTCTTGCTATGTTCTCCCTGCTGGTGTCAAACTCCTGGCCTCAAGCCATCCTCCCACCTTGGGCTCCCAACTTGCTGGGATTACAGGTGTGGGCCAGTGCACCCAGCCATCATCTTTTAGAGTTACTATAAGTTTTAAGTGGCACAATATAAATGTGTGTGTAAAGCACCTAGTAAAAGGCTTGGCACATAGTAGATACCCAATACATGAGATATCTTGGCCCTCATTAATTAATTCAATAAAGGTATATTAGTCCCTATTATGTGCAATACTACTGCCTTTAAGGAGCCTACATTCTGGTGAGGGAGACCAAAAATAAACTAATAATAAGTATATAGTACACTAGATAGTAGTAAATGCTTTTAAATTCCTCTTTTTTTTTTTTTTGAGACAGGGTCTCACTGTGTCCCCAGGCTAGAGTGCATTGGTGTGATCATAGCTCACTGCAGCCTTGACCTCCTGGGCTCAAGTGATCCTCCCACCTCAGCCTCTTGAGGAGCTGGGACTACAGGCACATGCCAGCATGCCCAGCTAATTTTTCTGTAGAGATGTGGTCTCATCATGTTGCCCAGGGAGGTCTGGAACTCCTGGCCTCAAGTGATCCTCCCGCTGCGGCCTCCCAAAATATTGGGATTACAGGCATGGGCCACCAAGCCCTGCTGCTTTTAAATTCTTGACTCTGCAAAAGTTGGAGATAAGGCTGTAAACAGTACAGGATGCAATTCACCCCTAGGAAATGGCAGAAAATAAACAGTGACAAACAACCCACTAGGTCATGGCCCACAACTCTATGTTAATACTTCTCTATTATTTGTAGTTACTGCAAAATAATTTCCATTTGCTTGCTTGAAGTGTTACTTTTTAATAAACCTAAAAGTATTCATTTTAAGTGATACAGATATGGGTAGATATGATGAATGGAACAGGTAGTGCACATAAACACTTTCAAACTTGTACCATACACAAGACACCTAAAAAGTTACATTTGACCAAACCTTAAATTTTGATACCCTAGTCATAGGGTATTTAGAATTTCAAATCCAATCCAACTTTGAGATAACTATTTTCACTGGAACCATTATTATGTGTTTTGTTACAGGTTTTATGGAGAACATTCTCAGGCACTGAAAATTACTTAAAATTCCCATAAACAAACAAACAAACAAAACCCTCCATTTGAAGAGGCATTAGTTTCAGGAATAAATTACTTACATAAACCTACACAAAGTGTTAATGTCAGGCTTTTACTTCACTTAATTAAAAAAAATTATAGGCTTATGTGTATCATACCATGTTTAAGACAATGTCGCCAAGCCAACCGAAATAAACACAAAACTATGCTCCTTTAATGTAAACAAATTTGACCAAAATTTAAACAAAAATCAGCAATATCCATTGAAAACCACAAGAACTCAAGGTAGCTCTGGGATGTCACCAGTCAAAAAGTATCCTTTCCCACTGCTAGGGTTCAAAATATCTTTGTGAAAATGTGCATAGGGCTGGGGAAGGTGGCTCAGGCCTGTAATCCCAGCACTTTGGGAGGTGAGAGGATCCCTTGAGCCCAGGAGTTTGCGATCAGCCTGGGCAACATAGAAAGACTCTGTTTCTACAAAAAAAAAAAATTTTTTTTCTTTTTCTGAAACGAAGTCTTGCTCTGTCGCCAGGCTGGAGTGCAGTGGTACAATATCGGCTCACTGCAACCTCTGCCTCCCGGCTTCAAGTGATTCTCCTGCCTCAGCCTCCCGAGTAGCCGGGACTACAGGCATGCGCCACCACGCCCGGCTAATTTTTGTAATTTTAGTAGAGACTGGATTTCACCAGGTTGGCCAGAATGGTCTCAATCTCTTGACCTCGTGATCCACCCTCCTCGCCCTCCCAAAGTGCTGGGATTATAGGCGTGAGCCACCGCGCCTGGCACCCACAATTTTTTATTTAATTAGCCAGGCGTGGTGGTGCACGCCTATAGTCCCAGAGACTTGGGAGGCTGACGCGGGAGGAATGCTTGAGTCCAGGAGGTCGAGGTTTCAGTGAGCAATGATTGTGCCACTGCACTCCAGCCTGGGCAGCAGAGCGAGACTGTGTCTCAACAACAACAACAAACGTGCACAGCAGAAGATTTGCAAAGTTGCAACCCAGAGTCTTGCTAGGATATTGATTCCAAATCTTTTTTTTGTTTGTTTGTTTGTTTGTTTGAGAAAAGATCTCACTCTGTTACCCAAGCTGGAATGCAGTGGTGTGATCACAGCTCACTGCTGCAGCCCCGACCTTCTGGGCTCAAACATTCCTCCTGCCTCAGCCTCCCAAGCAGTTGAGACCACAGGCGTGCACCACCATACCTGGTGGCTATTTTTTTAAAAAAATTTTTTGTAGGGATGGGGTCTGGCCTTGTTGCCCAGGCTGGTCTTGAACTCCTGGGCTCAAGAAATCCTCTCACCTTGGCCTCCCAAAGTGCTGGGATTACAGGTGTGGGCCACAACACTCTTTAGTAAATTAATTTTGATATATCAATACCAAGGTTAATAATGTTTAATAATTCATTTCACTGGCCAAGCTCGGTGGCTCACGCCTGTAATCCCAGCACTTTGGGGAGGCCGAGGTGGGAGGATCACGAGGTCAGGAGATCGAGACTAGCCTGGCCAACGTGGTGAAACCCCATCTCTACTAAAAATAGAAAAAATTAGCCAGGCGTGGTGGCTGGCGCCTGTAATCCCAGCTACTCGGCAGGCTGAGGCAGGAGAATCGCTTGAACCCAGGAGGCAGAGGTTGCAGTGAGCTTAGATAGTGCCACTGCACTCCAGCCTGGGCGACAGAGCAAGATTCTGACTCAAAAAAAAATAAAAATGATAAAAAAAATAATAATTCATTTCACTGGTTACCATTAACAGGGGCTTAGTCATACATTCAAATGAAGCCATGGGGCTTCAGAGCAAAGAAAGAACTACTCCTCAAGATCAGCTGGGCAAGGTGGCTCATGCCTGTAATCCCAGCACTTTGGGAGGCCAAGATGGGAGGATCAGGAGTTGAAGACCAGCCTGGGCAACATAGCAAGACCCATTTCTACAAAAATAAAATAAATAGCTGGGCATGGTGGTGTGTGTCTGTAGTCCCAGCTACTCAGGAGGCTGAGGCAGGAGGATTGCTTGAGCCCAAGAGGTCGAGGCTGCAGTGAGTTATGATTGTACCATTGCACTCCAGCCTGGGCAACAGGGCAAGACCCTGTCTCTGAAAAAAAGACTCCTCAATGTGATCCTTGTGGCTGAATTTGAAAACTAAGTCAGCCATACTGGAGGTGGTTGACCAAACCAGCCTGACCCTGAGGTAGACATTGGTCTTGAGTCACCACAAAGGGATGTTGGTCTGAGGAGGCCAAAAGTTGACCTACTTAGAGCTCCACTGGATTCAGAATGACCTTCAGGTCCCTTTCCTTCATCAGACCTGTCTGCCCTGTTGGTCTGGTGTTCCTTACCTCATCCTGATAATATACACTACTGCCTGGAGAAACTTAAGTCTCTGGTTCCTGCAATCTATAATTTCATAAGTAATAAACTTGCATTCTTAAACTTGGTTTTGTCTTGCCCATTTCTTTTTCTTTCTTTTCTTTTTTTTTTAAGATGGAGTCTCGCTCTGTTGCCCAGGCTGGAGTGCAGTGGCACGATCTTGGCTCACTGCAGCCTCCATCTTCTGGGTTCAAGCCATTCTCCAGACTCAGCCTCCTGAGTAGCTGGGACTACAGGTGCCCGCCACGATGCCCGGCTAATTTTTGGAATTTTTAGTAGCGACCGGGTTTCACCATGTCAGCCAGGCTGGTCTCAAATTCCTGACCTGAAATGATCCGCCCGCCTCGGCCTCCCAAAGTGCTGGGATTACAGGTGTAAGCCACCACGCCTGGCCTGCCCATCTCTTTTTCACTTGAGCCAAAGCTATTTCTAGGAAGGCAGTGGCATTTCCTGAGCTAAAATCATTTTCCCATTCCTGAGTCACATTTCACATGGTCCCAGAGGTGAATTTAGTGGATTACATTTTAAAAAACAAACAAAAACCTCAGAGCCACACATAGACCAGGTTTTGCCTTCTTCCTCTCCAACTCCCACTATTCCTTCCTTTGCACGTTTGCTGAGCCATACGGAAGTGCATGGCCAACAGAGAAGAAAAAGGTTGATTAGTAGTAAAGAAGCCCTGCTGTTGCCTTGAATGTCAGCACGTGCACACACACACACAGGTGCGCGCACACACGGGCACACACAGGTACGCGCACACACACAGGTGCAAGCACACAGGTGCGCGCACACACACAGATGCGCGCGCACACACAGGTACGCGCACACACACTTTTATACCTGTCCATTGCCAGTTTCTTTTGGTTCTTCAGGATTGCCCTTAGTGTTCGTTTTCATCTGATGTTGCCTAGACCAAAATCCTGGAGGAAAGAACCTGATGAACTAGGTTTTGAACTCCCCCATGCATGACCCCTGCCTGTGGGGTCTGCCCTAGATGGATAATAAATAGGTCATTATCAGTCTCATTTCAGTGTCCACAGTGGAGAGATTTTATTCTTCCCCTTGCTCTGGAACTGGCCCCTTTTCTCCTCCAAATCCCAATCTTGGCCTAGAATTTTGAACTCTGCTTAGAATTCCAAATTGCCACATATATATGTCAGGAGATCAGACAGAGTTAGCTGAGCAGGGAACAAGGCCGTGCTTTTCAGAAGTATGTAGGTCTGCTTCACAAGAATATGCCATTAACAATATGGACAAGGCTCACCATAAATTTATGAGTGAAACAACTTATTCCAACTGCTCTCATGCCTGGCTTTATACAGTCATCTACTTGTCCTTCCCTGGGCCCAGCCAATGCTGCTCCCCCTTTAACAACTGCTTCTGAATGTCCCTGTGGTGTGGGCCAGAAAGGAGACTCTCTTCTTCCCCAAATCCACCTGCAGTATGGCAGAAACTAGAATTCATGGTCCTCTCCCAACCCATGCCCACTTCCTTCTGCCACTTAAAGAAAACACCCATAAAGGGTGGGAAGAGAGAGCGTAACAGCAAGGTCTGTGCATTCCCAGAGATGTGATGCAAGGGGTGTGGGAGGCATGGCACTGCTTGACTCACGCTGGAGAGCGGGCACTTGGCCTGGCTTTCAGAGGAAATGCTCCTTGGAATGCGGTCGGCCCCGGCTGCACCCACGCCTGTGAGGGAGGGGCTTATGTGTCTGGCACATCATAGGTGGCTCCTGGGGTTTGCCATGAGTCTCAGCACAGCAGACCTGAGAGGAAAAAAATACAGACTGAACGCGTTTCTTCTATTCTCTCACCCAACACAGAAGACTTCTGTGGCCGCATGTGTGGGGTTTTTTTTCCCCACATACCAAGAAGCAAACAATTCTTCTGTGGACTCTAGCCGAGACTCTTCCAATTCAATTCAATTCAGACACTAGCTACCTAGAGATAGTGTAAGAAGGCACAGGTTGAGGACTCATTCCCCAAGACCACCCCTCACTCCTGATGCCAACTGCAAGCTCCACGTTGTTTTATCTGTGCATCTGACTGGCTATAAATCAGGGGTCCTATGGCCCCCTCCGGTGGCCCTTCCTTGGGTTTGATTAATATGCTAGAGCAGCTCACAGAACTCAGGGAAACACCGATTTATTATAAAGGATATTACAAAGGATAAAGATTAATAGATGCATAGGGTAAAGTATGGGGGAAGGCAGAAGCAGTTTCCACGTCCTTCCCAAGCACCACACCCTCCAGGAACCTCCACGTGGTCAGCTACCCAGAAGGTCTCCAAACATGGTTCTTTTGGGCTTTGATGGAGGCTTTATTATGTAGGCATGATTGATTAAACTCTTGGTCATTGGTGATTAACTTTACTTCAGCCCCTCTTCCCTTCCCAGAGGTTGGGGGATGAGGCTGAAAGCCCCAACCCTCTAACCATGGCTTAGCCTTTCCCATGACCAGTCTCCGTTCTGAAGCTACCGATGGGCTGCCGGCCATCTGTCAACTCATCAGCACACAAAAAAGACATCACTTTGGAGATTCCAAGGAATTTAGGAGTTGTACACAGGGAAACAAGGTGGAAGATGAAATATATATTTTTCAATATCGCAGTAGGGTACAGTAATTTTTTAAGCCAATCCTTTCAGTCCAGTGAAAGATAACTGGAATGAACAGCTCCATTACTCTTACCAATATAGGCAAAATAGGCTCGTGCTGTCTTGGAGACTAGCTGAGCAAAAGCCACCTCAGTGTTCAGCGTAGGGACCCAGGTCCTGGGGAGGAGGTGGGCCAGCACATGAGAACAGGACATTGTTTTTGGGGAGCGGAGGTAGGGCCCGGTCACTCAATCCCTGTTCCCTACAAATCAACTTCAGGATTCCTGGCAAAGTGGCCCAGAGCAGCCCCAATTAAAGCCAGGTGCTGGGAAGGGCAGTAGGACAATTCAAGTAAAGCCACTCTGACGGGAGAGAGAGGGGGGCTACAGGCTAACCCCGGTGTCAAGGAGCCCGCGGGAAGAGGAGGTGGAAGTGTGAGTGCCATGGGGTTGCTGACACTGGAGCAAGTTCTCACTGTCCCTCTGGGGCTTGCCTGCCTAAAGGAAGTGTCCCATGGAATGAAGGAGGTTTGTTTGCGAGTTGTAAGGCATGGGACTCAGGCCTTCTGGGGCTCCACGCCCGCCCCTCTGAGGCAAACCCCACCAGCCCTGGAAGCAGCCTGCACCTCACCTTCCTGAACATCAAAGCTTTTGATTGGCTATTGCTAAACTTTCTTCCTAGAAGGCTTTACCAATTCATACACCTACCACAAGTGCATCATTCTTTTTCATTTTTACCAACCTGAAGAAGGGAAAGGGCTCTATTGTTTAATTTACATTTGATCACTACTGAGTGTGAGTCTATTACCATATGCTTTTCTCTCTTTCTCTTGTCCCTAAAATTCCATTTCTGGGAATATAATCTAAAGAAATTCTCAAAAAGATAGATGTTCAAGAATGTTCATATGGCATAGTTTATTTTTTATTTTTATTTTTTATTTTTTATTTTTGCAGGAGACCGGAGTTTGATGATTACTTAAATTAGTCTCCTCAAGCATTCGGGGAGCAGAGTTTTTAAGGACAAGTTGGTGGGTTGGGGGAAGCCAGTGAGCTAGGAGTGCTGACTCGTCAGAGATGAAATCATAGGAAGTCAGAGCTGTCTTGTTGTGTTCAGTCAGTTCCTGGGTGGGGGCCACAAGATCAGATGAGCCAGTTTATTATCTGGGTGGGGCCAGCTGATCTATCAAGTGCAGGGTATGCAAAATATCTCAAGCACTGATCTTAGGAGCAGTTTAGGGAGGGTCAGAATCGTATAGTCCTACGGCATTGTTTATAATAGAAGCAAAAATAAAAATAATACAAATGTCCATAAATAGGAAGCTGGCTATAGAAATTATGGTGTGTCCATACTGCAGAGGACCATGCGGTTGGTTATAGATTGAAGTTGACCAGCAGAGACAAAGAAAGACCTCAGGAACATGTAGGTAAATGAAAAAGATAATATGTATATAATATGTAACAATATACTAATATATCCCACTTATGTTTTTTAAATGTTTGCATATATATAATATGTACATAAATTCATAGAAAAGAAACTAAAGGGAAGTGAAAGTATTGATGGTGAGTAACTTTGGTAAAAGAAGGTCCAGGCATGTGGCTCATGCCTATAATCCCAGCACTTTGGGAGGCCGAGGCAGGATAATTGCTTGAGGTCAGGAGTTCGAGACTAGCCTAGGTAACATAGTAAAACCCTGCCCCTACAAAAAATTAAAATATTAGCCAGGTGTGATGGTGCACATAGTCCTGTCATCCTAGCTACTTGGGAGGCTGAGGCAGGAGGATTGCTTGAGCCCAGGAATTTGAGGCTACAGTGAGCTATGATTGTGTCACTGCACTCCAGCCTAGGCAACCGAGTGAGACTCCATTTCTAAAAGAAATTAATTAATTAATAAAAATGAAGAGAATGCTCAGCAGACTTCTGAATTCTTTGAGTGTTCACAAGAAAAATAAATTCATGTATCACATGTCCTATAAAAGAAAAAGGGGTTGGGGTTGCTTTTGCATATAAAGCAAGCTAGTTTCAACCGAACTCTCTGTCCACTGGAGAAAAGTGCTTGCCACAGAAAACTGTTTTTCTGGTTCACTGAGGTATAATTGACAAATAACAAGTACATATATCCAAGGTGCACAATGTGATGTTTTGATATAAGTATACACTGTGAAAGGATTATTACAACCAATTTGTAGTAATTAACTTGATGAATTAACATATTCATCAAGTATATAGTACATTATTATTAACTGTAGTCACCATGCTGTGCTTTCCATCTCAGAAAACTTAGAGTATTACCCTAAAGTTAACTATGACCATTTAGAAGTTTGCTTTAAAACACTGCTTTTCAAATTTTACTGTGGAAACAAATCGCTTGGGGATCTTGTTAAAATTTGGATTCTGAATCAGTAGGTCTAGAGTGGGGCCTGAGATTCTGTCTTTCTGACAATCTCCCCAGGTGACACCAATGCTGCTGGTCCCTGAAGCACGCTTTTGGTGGCAAGGTTTCCAGAGAGCTGAGGCTCCTGTATTTCTTTACAATCCAGACATCAGTTTCCCCTCCTTGTCATCACAATTCAGTGCATTTACCATTATATGGGGCTTTATATCCCTAGAGAATCAGAACACATGTTGTGGAAAATTGGCTGAGTTGCATCAAAATGCATTGGTTTGGCCTCAGACGTGTTGCCTGTATCTGTAGCTGTATTTCAGTTCCAATAAATGCATGTGTGTGGGTCTCAGGTAAACATATTGGTTTAAATGAAAATTCACTGCTTGGGAAACAAAAATAGGATTGCAATGAAAACACATTGCATTAAGTATTTTACATAATTCCCACAAACAGATGCTAGGAAATAATGTTTTGGTTTCAGTGGCAGTTCATTGAATTCACTGGTATGCTATTTGTATCTCTGAATATGTATGAGTTTTGATGAAAATGCATTGTGGAAAGAAATCAGTCAAGCTCTTCCTATACAGTCCAGCTATAATGTTCTTGTAAATTTTATGTTGCTATACCATCTTTTGTCTTGTTTATGAATACATATTCTTTTTAATGTTCCATATTGCTTAGTGTTGCAGTAAATATAACCATTTTGTTTGTGTCTTGAGTTTCTCATGTAGTGGATACATACACTGAACATTAAAGAATATAAATGTGACTAAAATCTGTTATATTAACTAGAAGATGCCTTTATTTTTTATCTCAAAATATTATTATTTCTGCATTGACTTTTATATAGAAAGAGACATTCTAAAAATTATTGGACTAAATCTAGAATCAATTTTGAAATCATAATACCATACACTAAACAGATGGAAATATCGGCAATATTTGATCAAATACTTGGTGTAATTACAGTAAAGCAATTTACAGAACTGATGAGAACAGAATTACAATTTGTATCAAATTAATGCCCTGAAACAAAACTACATTAATTGTTATATCATGTTAGTGATCTCTGTTGCTACCCAAAGACTAAATGGTCGGGGGAGGAAAAGGGGCAAGAAATTTAATTTCATTTAAATTGTGACAGTGTTCCTATACAGTATTTTATTCACTTGAATGGGTCAAAAGAATACCGCATGCTCAGCCAATTATCTGCTATGCAAAATTATTCTTAATTCTATGTGAGAATTGTAGACAGTGGGTTGAGGAGGTGGAAGTAAAAGCTGCATAGATGCAAATAGTTAAAGGTCGTTATCTACGTACCAAATCTAACTCGAGAAGAAAATCTTAAGATACTGTTTTATAGCTGAATGTGCTTCACCCACAGAGGAGCTCAGCGTTATCCCTGGGCCTTGGAAATAAGGGTGCAATGGACTGAATGCTTATCTCCCCTCCAAATTCATACACTGGTATTCTAATCCCCAAGGTGATGGTATTAGCAGATGGGGCCTTTGGGAGGTGACTAGGACATGAGGGTGGAGCACTTGTGAGTGGGATTAGTGCCCTTACAGAGAGACTGCAGAGAGCTCCCTTGCCCCTTCCACCATGTGAGGACACAGGGAGAAGATGGCTGTCTGTGAACTGGGAAACAGGCCCTCATCAGACACTGAGTCAGCTGAGGTATTGATCTTGGACTTCCCAGCCTTCAGAACTGTGAGAAATAAATTTCTGTTTAAAAGACACCCAGTTTCAGGTATTTTTGCCATAGTAGCCCAAACAGACTAACAGTGGATATAATTTTGTTGAGCCAGTTATAAAATCCAAGTCCAAGTCAAAACTGCAGGCTGATATTAGCTGGGCATGGTGGTGCATGCCTGTAGTTCCAGCTACTCCAGAGGCGGAGGTGGGAGGATGGCTTGGGCCCCAGAGGTCAAGGCTGCTGTGAGTGGTGATCACACCAATGCACACCAGCCTGGGGGACAGAGCAAGACCCTGTCTGAAAAACACAAAAATACAAAAAACTTGCAGGCTCCAAAACTACCTGAACTTCAACCTACCTTCTTTCAATACAATGCCCAGAACATAGTCTCTCTCAATGACCCAGTCAAGCTTAAAAAAAAAAAAAAGAAAAAAAAAGCATCACCACTTCTCTCTTCAAAATCTAGCCTTGATATATATTTTGAGGGGATGCATTCTGAAGTGTGTCAGCATGATACATCGTATCATCTGCAACTTACTTTCAAATGGCTTAGGAAAAAAATATGGTATCTGCTGTCTATTTATCTACCTACCTATCTATCAAGAGATAAGCAAACATGATGAAATAATAACAGTTGTTAAATCCATGTGAGGGGTATTTGGCTGTTTGTGTGCTATTTTTCAGCTTTTCTGATTGAGCTTACTTTTTTAAAAAGGCAGGAAAAAGTATGTGGCCTTGACTGTGAAGACAGACAAGAAACAGCTGAGCCCCTCTTGTTTCTCGATACATCAAAAATGCGGGACACATGGTCAGTGCTAATACATAGTCCTTAAACTTAAGAAGTTCCTAAAAATTAACTTTGCTTGTGGAGTGTCAAACCGGAAATCAGTTAAAACAAAGAAAAATTTGAGATTTTTCTGGGGAAAAAAATTTCATCTTGATTTTCTGAGTTACCCCAGCCCACTGTCCCTGAATACGCCTCTTGTCCTGGTAAAGGGTGTCACCCTTGTCCCCCAGGATCTCTGTTTTTCTTTTGAGACAGAGTTTCACTCTTGTCTCCCGGCTAGAGAGCAATGGCACGATCTTGGCTCACTGAAACCTCTGCCTCCCAGGTTCAAGCGATTCTCCTGCCTCAGCCTCCCAAGTAGCTGGGATTACAGGCATGCACCACCATGCCTGGCTAACTTTTTGTATTTTTAGTAGAGATGGGGTTTCACCATATTGAGCAGGCTGGTCTTGAACTCCTGACCTCATGATCCACCCATCTTGGCCTCCCAAAGTGCTGGGATTACAGGTGTGAGCCACTGCGCCCGGCCCAGGATCTCTTATACAGTAGAATTCTACTCTGTTATTAAAGAGGTAAGCATAAGCTATTCCAAAACCAAGAAAGAACACAACCCTAAGTGCCCAGAATGGTGAACAATTAAAGAGCTTTAACTGCTTGCCAGAGTCTTTATGTTACTTACATAGAAACCTATAAAAGAGGCCGGGTGTGGTGGCTCATGCCTGTAATCCCAGCACTTTGGGAGGCCGAGGTGGGTGGATCACGAGGTCAGGAGTTCGAGACCAGCCTGGTCAATATGGTGAAACCCCATCTCTACTAAAAATACAAAAGTTAGCCAGGCATGGTGGCGCACACTTGTAGTCCCAGCTACTCAGGTGGCTGAGTCACGAGAATCTCTTGAACCTGGGAAGTGGAGGTTGCAGTGAGCCAAGTTCATGCTACTGCACTCCAGCCTGGGCAATGGAGTGAGATTGTCAAAAAAAAGAACAGGCCAAGGAAAATAAATGGAGACAGGGTCTGCATGTACTACAGGTGAAAGAAATTTTCAGAAACTACAAAAAAGATTAGCTGGGCCCGTAGTCCCAGTTACTCGGGACGCTGAGGCAGAAGAATCACTTGAACCCGAGAGGCGGAGGTGGCAGTGAACCGAGATGGCGCCACTGCACTCCAGCCTGGGCGACAGGGCGAGACTCCGTCTCAAAAACAAAAACAGAAACAAAAACCTATAAAAGAGAATAGCCCTGTAAGTTTTTGAGAAGTAATGCATTTTGGGGAAGAGTCATGCTCGTTTCCTCCAACCTCTGAGAAAAACACAATTGTTCTAGATACTTCTCCAGTGTTAATTCAAAGATGGCAGTGGTAATACAAAAGTGGCTGAGTCACGTGTCAAGTCAAAAAGCTAGTCTTAGATATGACTTTAAATTTCTCTTTTTCATCCCTTTGGTCCTTTAGAAACATTCACTGGAATGAGTATTAAAGTCTGATAATTTCAGACACTTGTTTATTCTTTGGCCTAAGTATATACCCTCACGGAGTTTTCTGTAATATTCATGTCAGAATCATTCCTTTATAGTTTCTGCAGTCATTGGTTGAGGAATGTCTTATTCATTTCATTCATTCAAAAAGCTTTTATTGAAGCTCTATGATATGCCAGTGTTTGGGAAACGAATGCAATATAAGAGCCTTCCATTACTGACAGATTTTTCTCCTTGCAACTTCTCTGCCTTCCCACTGCCCCAACTTCATGGGAATACCTCCTACAGAAATATGTAAGTTATAGCAGAAGCTCTTTGTTAGAACTCCTAATTCTAATTCGAGATCAATTTTTTTCAACATTTTATTATAAAACCTTTTAAGCATAGCTCAGAATTGAAGAAACTGTACGGTGAACACTCATATGCTCACCAGCTAGATTCAACAATAAACATTCTTCTGTACTTCATTTACTATTTATCCATTTATCCAGCTGTTTATCCACCCACCAATCTATCTTGTCTTTTTTTTTTTTTTTTCTGAGATGGAGTCTCACTCTGTTGCCCAGGCTGGAGTGCAGTGGCATGATCTCGGCTCACTGCAACCTCTGCCTCCCGGGCTCAAGTGACTCTCCTGCCTCAGCCTTTTGAGTAGCTGGGATTACAGGTGTGCACCACCATGCCCGGCTAATTTTTGTATTTTTAGTAGAGACGGGGTCTCATCATGTTGGCCAGCCTGGTATTGAACTTCTGACCTCAGGTGATCCACCCGCCTTGGCCTCCCAAAGCATCTTGTCTTTTTAATGCATTTCTAAGTATGTTGCAGTCAGCAATACACTTCTCCCCATATGTTCCAACATGCATATCTTTTATTAGAGTTCAATGTTGGTTGATTTCTTCTTCTTTTGAGGTAAAATTTAAATACAAAAAATGCACAGTTTATAAGTGTGCCATTCAGCAAGTTGCAAGGAAGGCCATGTATACAAGCAAGGCAAACCCCTGGTGAGATCCAGTACCTTAAGACTGCCCTGAAAGCTCCCCTGCACAGCTGGTCCCCAACCCCATGGCCCAACTCCCAAAGGTAACCCTTTCTCTGGATTCCCCTGCCCCCACCTTAGATTAGTCCATAGATTAGTTTTGCTTGTTCTAGGATGATAAATATATAAACAGTATGTGCTTTCTTGTGTAAGGCTTCTTCCATTCAGTACAACATTTTTGGAATTCATCATGATGTTGTATGTATCAATGGTTCCTCCCCCCACCCCCCCTTTTTTTTTGAGACAGAGTCACCCAGGCTGGAGTGCAGTGGCACAATCTCAGCTCACTGCAACCTCTGCCTCCTGGATTCAAGCTGATTCTCCTGCCTCAGCCTTTCGAGTAGCTGGGATTGGAGGTGCGTGCCACCACACCTGACTATTTTTGTATTTTTAGTAGAGATGGGGTTTCACCATGTTGGCCAGGCTGGTCTCGAACTCTTGACCCCAGGTGATCCACCCACCTCGGCCTCCCAATGTGCTGGGATTACAGGTGTGAGCCACCGCGCCCAGCCGGTTCCTCCCTTTTTTATTGTGTAGTATTTCATTGTCTGAATTTACCACAGTTAGTTTATTCATTCTCCTATTGGTTGTTTTCAGCTTTCAGTTATTTATGAATAAAGCTATGGACATTTTTGAACAAGCCTCTTTGAGGACATATGCTTTTATTTCTCCCGGGTGAGTAACCTAGGTGTGGAATTGCCAGGTCATAATGTAGGTGCAGTCAGCCTTCCCTATCCGTGGGTTCCACATTCATGGACTCAGCAAATATTCATGAATTCAATAAAAAATCAAGGGGTGGGAGGAAAGGATGATCATGTCTGTATGGAATATGTATAGACTTTTTTCTTGTTATTATTTCCTAAACTGTATACAGTATAATTATGCTCACTATCTGAGTGATGGGATCAATTGAACTCCAAACCTCAGCATCATGCAATACACTTATATAACAAACCTGCATATGTACCACCTGAATCTAAAATGAAAGTGGAAATTATTTTTTTAAATACAGTATAACAACTGTTTACATAGTCTTCACCTTGTACTAGGTATTATAAGTAATCTAGAGATGATTTAAAGTATACAGGAGGATGTGTGTGGGTTATATGCAAGTACTACCCTGCTTTATATCAGATTCCTGAGCATCTGTGATTTTGGTACTTGCAGGGAGACCTGGAACCAGTCCCCTGCAGATACTGATGGACAACTGTATATGTTTAGTTTTAAAAGAAATTGTGGGCTGGGCATGGTGGCTCACGTCTGTAATCCTAGCACTTTGGGAAGCCGAGGTGGGCGGATCACTTGAGGTCAGGAGTTTGAAACCAGCCTGGCCAACATGGTGAAACCCTGTCTCTACTAAAAATACCAAAAAATTAGCCGGGAGTAGTGGCAGGCGCCTGTAATCCAAGCTACTCAGGAGGCTGAGGCAGGAGAATTGCTTGAACCTGGGAGGCAGAGATTGCAGCGAGCCAAGATCACGCTACTACACTCCAGCCTGGGGGACAAGAGTGAGACTCTGTCTCACAAAAAAAAAAAAAAAGTAAATTGCAAAATCCTTTTCAAGATGTATTTTTAAATCGATAAAACACTAACTTAGTATACATTTAGATTAAGAAAAACATTACTATATAGGTTGACCAATGTGATATGGTTTGGCTCCGTGTGGCCACACAAATCTCATGCAAATTGTAATTCCTAATGTTGGGGGAGGGACCTGGTGGGAGGTGATTGGCTCATGGGGGAGAATTTCCCCCTTGCTGTCCTCATGATAGTGAGTGAGTTCTCATGAGATCTGGTGGCTTAAAAGTGTGTAGCGCTTCCCCCTTTGCTCTCTCTCCTGTTGCCATGTGAAGATGTGCTTGCTTCCCCTTTGCCCCATGCCGTGACTGCAAGTGTCCTGAGGCCTCCTCAGCTGTGCTTCCTGTACAGTCTACGGAACTGAGTCAATTAAACTTCTCTTCATATATTACCCAGTCTCAGGTATTTTTTTTTTATAGCACTGTGAGAACAGACTAATACATAATGCTAAATGTCTCAACATTCTCTACTCTTTGGGTGAATATTTGCTTACGTAAGCTGTGGAGAGAAGAAAATTAACAAAGCTAGGGAAAGCTCTCTGGGCCACCATCCACTACTAGTGTTGCCTTAATTATTAATCCTACATCATTTTAGAGTTTGTACTTCAATGGCAATGCGTATTCCTCCAGGAATGGAATGCAGTTTCATCAGAACTTTCTCCTGACACGCCTTGTGGCTCTGAGTCACAGACGTTTTTCTTAAAGGGAGTGTCTTTCATCTCAGGGCCTCAAGCTGCCCGTCATTCCCCCATAGTCCAGAGATCCCCCTCCCCTGTGATCACATTCCAGCTTGCACCCTGTCTCCTCACTCCCTTTCCTTCTATTTCCTGCAGCCACTGCTGAACTACCGCATGCCAGCTCTCTGGCTTTCTAGGGTTTGCCATTTCACAAGGCTTAGCCTCAGATTTTATAAGGTTTATTGGTAAATTGCAGAATGAGAGGTTTTATCTTGTGTTACAGGAATTTCAGGCAGAAGCAAGCAGATGGCGTAACAGGCCAGTCCAAGCACAACACAATCCACAGGCCAGGGCTCAAAGCTCATGTTACCTGCCTCTACCAGGCACTGAGCTGACACCCTGGGCACACCTCTCAATCTCCCAGTCTTCCTCTTGCAGGAAAGAAAAGTTAAGCATTCCAGCAAAAGAAACTACCATCAGAGTGAACAAGCAACCTACGAAATGGGAGAAAATTTTTGCAACCTACTCATCTGACAAAGGGCTAATATCCAGAATCTACAATGAACTCAAACAAATTTACAAGAAAAAAATAAACAACCCCATCAAAAAGTGGGCGAAGGATATGAACAGACACTTCTCAAAAGAAGACATTTATGCAGCCAAAAAACACATGAAAAAATGCTCATCATCACTGGCCATCAGAGAAATGCAAATCAAAACCACAATGAGATACCATCTCACACCAGTTAGAATGGTGATCATTAAAAAGTCAGGAAACAACAGGTGCTGGAGAGGATGTGGAGAAATAGGAACACTTTTACACTGTTGGTGGGACCGTAAACTAGTTCAACCATTGTGGAAGTCAGTGTGGCGATTCCTCAGGGATCTAGAACTACAAATACCATTTGACCCAGCCATCCCATTACTGGGTATATACCCAAAGGATTATAAATCATGCTGCTATAAAGACACATGCACACGTAGGTTTATTGCGGCACTATTCACAATAGCAAAGACTTGGAACCAACCCAAATGTCCAACAATGATAGACTGGATTAAGAAAATGTGGCACATATACACCATGGAATACTATGCAGCCATAAAAAATGATGAGTTCATGTCCTTTGTAGGGACATGGATGAAACTGGAAACCATCATCCTCAGCAAACTATCACAAGGACAAAAAACCAAACACCGCATGTTCTCACTCATAGGTGGGAATTGAACAATGAGAACACATGGACACAGGAAGGGGAACATCACACTCCGGGGACTGTTGTGGGGTGGGGGGAGGGGGGAGGGATAGCATTTGGAGATATACCTAATGCTAAATGACGAGTTAATGGGTGCAGCACACCAACATGGCACATGTATACATATGTAACAAACCTGCACATTGCGCACATGTACCCTAAAACTTAAAGTATAATAATAATAAAATAAAAAACAAAATAAATAAATAAATAAACATCTAAAAAAAAGAAAAGTTAAGCATTCCAAAGTGTTCAGCTGATTTGAGCATTTTGTCCAGGACATCTGATTCCAATGTTTGAATGTGTGTGTGTGTGTGTGTGTGTGTGTATGTGTGTATATACATTTAGAGAGGGGGTCTCCCTGTGTTGTCCAGGCTGGCCTTGAACTCCTGAGTTCAAGCGTGGTAGCACACACCTGTAGTCCTAGATACTCACCCTCCTGAGTATCTAGGACTACAGGTGTATGCTACCACGCTGGAATTAAATGTGTATTTTGCATTTGTAAATTTATTGACATAAGTGACAGAGTCCAGGCATATAATAAAACTGGTGACTCTGAAGAACAAATATTTCATTTTCTTCCATTTTCTCTCGGTTCTTGCAAACTTTCCTGAAATCTTGTCTCAGCTGAGAAACATGTTCTCACCATATAGTCATGTGAAGGGTGAAACTCATCTTCCCAGTGGTCATAATGAACACAGCTCATATTGTCCAGGTCTTTTCTTCCACTAGAGGGATTTTAACTGCCCTCCACTTTATTCTCCCAATAAACTTTTAGTTAAAAAGCTTAAATGTGGCCAGGTAATGTGGCTCATGCCTGTAATCCTAGTACTTTGGGAGGCCGAGGAGGGTGGATTACCTGAGGTCAGGAGTTCGAGACCAGCCTGGCCAACACGTCGAAATCCTGACTCTACTAAAAATACAAAAATTAGCCATGCATGGTGGTGCACGCCTTTAATCCCAGCTACTCGGGAGGCTGAGGCAGAAGAATCGCTTGAACCTGGGAGGTGGAGGTTGCAGTGAGCCAAGATCACGCCATTGCACTCCAGCCTGAGAGACAGAACAAGACTCCATCTCAAAAAAAAAAAAAAAAAAAGCTTAAATGTTCTCACCACACACACATAGAAATGGTAACTGTGTGAGGTGATGGATGTGTGAATTTGAATTAGCTTGATTATGGTATCTCACCTCACAAGATAGACATATATCAAAACATTGCATTGTACACATTTTAGTTGTATATATATAGTTGCATATACATATCTATACATATCTTTTAGTTGTATATATTCAAGCTACAGGGGAGGGAAACTTTTAGCCACAAAGCAGATCCAGTTGGAAAATCTTAACATCAAATGCTAGTTTTTGCATGTAATTTTTTTCTTTAAAAAATACATGGCCATAATATAAAATTCAAAAGGCAAAATGGTAAGTTGCAAAGCTTGTCTCTCTTCCTTTCCCCTAGTCATCAGATCTTCCCAAAGACACCTATACATACTGTTACTAGGTACTTGTGTATTTCTAGACATCCCAAACTTTTCTTAACATATACAGATTATATATTCTCCTCATCACATAAATGTTAGCATACTATGAAAGAGACAGCAAGTCGCCTGTCTCAACATCCATTCTCCCACTTTCTTTCTTTGTTGATATGGGGTTTTGCTCTGCCACCCAGGCTGGAGTGCAGTGGCATGAACAAAGGCTCAGCACAGCCTTGACCTCTTGCCTCAGCCTCCTGAGTAGCTGGGACTACAGGCACGCACCATCTGGCTAATTTTTAAATTTTTGTAGAGACAGAGTTTCACCATGTTGCCCAGACTGGTCTCAAACTCCTGGGCCTAAGGGATCCTTTCACCTTGGCCTCTCAAAGTGATGGGATTACAGGAGTGAGCCACTGGCGTCTGATCTCCTCACTCTTTTTATAACAGCCGTCCAAATGTATTTGAAGCCACTCATTGCTGTCCAGCAAAAAACTGCATTTCTCAGCCTTTCTGTTAGCTAATAATGCAGGCTATGTAACTAAGTTTTCGATACTGGAGTGGAAGATACTAGAATGTAACATTTGTCAGATCTTTTGCCTTTCTGCTGGCTGGGATGTGGACGTGATGACTGGAGCTTAAGCAGCTTTCTTGGACTGTAAAACAGCCCACTTGGGATGGCAGAGCAACAAGATGGAGGAAATTAGGTCCTGAGAATGATGGAGTTCCCTTATAAGCCATGGCCCTGTCCATATCTGTTTTGTTGTTGTTGTTTTTTAGCAGTTGAAACAGCTTAAACACCATAACAAGCTCACTGTTACTTGCAGCAAAATACAATTCCTTTTTTAAACATACGTAATTTTTATTTGTCAGTTATACCTTAATGAAAAATGTAATAGTCAAAACAAATGATATATTTGGAAATTTTTAAATATACACTTATAAGTAAAGCCATGGATCAAAAAATAAGTCACACTGAAAACTAGAAAACATTTTGAATTGACAATTGTGAAAATGCCACATGCCAAATATTGTGGCATTTCACAAAATCTACTTTGAGTGAAATGTATAGCGCAAAAGCCTATAAATGCTGACATTTAAGAAGTGGGAAAACATTTTTTTTAATTAGCTAGTCATCCAAATTAGAATTAGAAAACAACAGCAAAATAAATTCAAAGATCAAAAATGAAAAATTAATGTAAGAGCAGAAGTAAATAAATACAACTAAAATTTATAATATAGAGCATTACAAAGACAAGCAGTTCTTTAAAAAGCCTAACACAATTGAAAAACCTGTAAGCAAGAGTGAAAAAGTGAAAAAAGAAAGGACACAAATAAACTATATTAAGAATGTAAGGGGGCTCGGCCCAGTGGCTCATGCCTGTAATCCCAGCATTTTGGGAGGCCAAGGCAGGAAGATCACTGGAGGTCAGGAGCTTGAGGCCAGCCTGGCCAACATGGTGAAAACCCATCTCTACTAAAATTATAAAAAAAATTAGCTGGGCGTGGTGGCATATGCCTACAGTCCTAGCTACTCGGGAAGCTGAGGCAGGAGAATGGCTTGAACCTGGGAGGCGGAGGTTGCAGTGAGCCACGATCAAGCCACTGCACTCCAGCCTGGGCCACAGAGGGAGACTCTGCTTCAAAAAACAACAAAGACAACAACAACAAAACAACAACAACAAAGAATGTAAGAGGGGCCAGGCGGGCTGGCTCACACCTGTAGTTCCAACGCTTTGGGAGGCTGAGGCAGAAGGATCACTTGAGCCCAGGAGTTTGAAACTGGTCTAGGCAACATAGTGAGACACTGTCTCTCCAAAAAAAAAAAAAGTAAGAGGGGACATAAATGTAGAAGCTGTAGACATGAAAGAGATAATAAAATTTTTCTATTTACAGGCAGTTTTATAAAAATGAATTACAAAATATAGATGAGATATGTTCTATTAAACATATAAGGTATGGTATACTACAGTAAAACACAATTCTTAACACATGTGTATACCATACCTAGTGCACTACACCTTGCTTTCTTCCTTAACAATATGTCTTGGAAATGAATCTGTAGAGTACATAGAGAACTGCCTCATTCCTTGTAATGACTGAATGTTATTCCTTTATACGACTGACCCATCATTTATTTAAATGTGTCTTATTGATAGCATTTAGACTGTTTCCAGTCTTTGCTATTATTAAAAAAGTCACGATATATAAACCCATCATTTCGCACACTTGCAACTCCATCTGTAGGATAAATTCCAACAAGTGGAGTCGCTAGGTTCAAAGGTGTGCTCATATTTATTTGGATCGATTTCACAAAGAAGCTATACCATATTACACTACTCCCATCAAAGTATAAGAATGCCTACTGCGGCCGGGCGCGGTGGCTCATGCCTGTAATCCCAGCACTTTGGGAGGCCGAGGCGGGCGGATCACGAGGTCAGGAGATGGAAACCATCCTGGCTAACACAGTGAAACCCTGTCTCTACTAAAAATACAAAAAAATTAGCCGGGCGCGGTGGCGAGTGGGCGACGGAGCGAGATTCCGTCTCAAAAAAAAAAAAAGAATGCCTATGGAGTCTCCTAAGAACAGCATCATCAAGGCCACCACATTCCAATATCTGTTGCACTTCTCTCATAAAGCTGAGCACCTTTTTCTTGCTGCATAGCCTTGTAACCAACTCTATTATAATAGAACTTGTTCCTCATCATCAGCAAGTGAGCATTTGCTAGCTTCAGATCTGAAACTTTCATTTTCCACTAGTAGGCTTCCGAAAGCAACCCTCTTGGTTCACGGATTAGGTGAGCCAGAACGCCAAATAACTTATAATTGAGAAATAAAAATAAAACTAATGCGAATGAGAATTTGTCTCCAAAAGTAGAAATTTTTCCATCAATGTCTCTCTTTCCACAACTTGCATTTGTGAAATTTAGAATGAATGTCGCAAGTAGGAAAAGACTCATTCTGTCATAGTAGAATCTTTGTGTATTTCTTAGAATACTTATTGTAGGTTTAAATTGAAAACAAAATCATCCAATTTTACACTTATTAGGGAAGAAAATAATCACAGCAACATATAAGATGTTGACAAAGGGCCGGGCGCGGTGGCTCACGCCTGTAATTCCAGCACTTTGGGAGGCCGAGGTGGGTGGATCACGAGGTCAGGAGTTCGAAACCAGCCTGACCAACATGGTGAAACTCCGTCTCTACTAAAAATACAAAAATTAGCCGGGCGTGGTGGCGCGTGCCTGTAATTCCAGCTACTCAGGAGGCCAAGGCAGGAGAATCGCTTGAACCTAGGAGGCGGAGGTTGCAGTGAGCCGAGATCGCGCCACCACACTCCAGCCTGGGTAACAGAGCAAGGCTCCGTCTCAGAAAAAAAGAAAGAAAGAAAGAAAGAAAAGATATTGACAAAGAATGAGTAAAGTCCAACACATGAGCTTTGACCAAAATTCCAACAGATGGCAGTATTGGCCAACTTTTTCCTTAAAAACGTAGGTGTTTTTTTTTTTTTCCAAGATGCTAATTAAACCTTGTTAGACGCGATAGATATATTTTCTGTAATTCCTCAATGAGAATTCGTATGTGTAGTTTATTATACGTTGTGCTCTATATTGTAAAAAATAACAAAAACCCTGAAGTGGTAATATCGTAGGCAATAATAATGGAATAACCGAGGTATGAATGAACAGTTTTGAGCACTAAAACACACTAAGGGCTTTGTTATGGACTGAAATGTGTCCTCTCCCCAGAGTCACAGGATTATGAAGCCATAATCCTCAATGTGACTATATTTGGAGCAGGGGCCTTTACAGACATAATTAAATTAAATGAGGTCATAAGAGTGGGGCCCTAGTCTGATAGGACTGGTGTCCTTACAAGAAGAGGGAGAGTCCTCAGAGAGTCCTCTCTCTCGGCATGGACACAAAAGAAAAGCCATGTGAGGACACAGAGAGAAGGTGGCTGTCTACGAGCTAGGAAGAAAGGCCTCACCGGAAACCAACCCTCACAGCAGCTCCATCTTGGACTTCCAGCCTCCGGAACTGTGAGAAAATAAATGTTTGCAATTCAGGTCGGTTGTATTTTGTGAAGGCCATCCTAGCAAATGAATACTCCTAACATTGTCTCTTTAAGAGCTCACCAGCCTGAGGTAGGAATCATTCCATCTGTGTTACTAATGAGACCGCTGAGGATCAAAGGGGTGAGTAAATTGCTTAGCAGTGCCTAGGTTTTATGTAGTGAATTTGGCTAAAATGGTAGAGCTCCCTGATTCTAACCTCCCTGCAGGTTTTCCACCACATCCACTCACCTCTACATGGCGAAAACCAAGGGTTCACTCTCTGTCTTCAGGGAGCTCCACCCAGCAGCAGCGTTTGACAGAGCTGTTCACTTCCTCTTCCTGGAGCTGTGGCTTCCAGAGCCCATGCTCAGCAGTTCCCCTCCTTCTTCGACTGCTCCTCTCTTAGGTGAGTTTTGTTGGTGTCCTTCATTTCCCTGACTCTAAACATTGGAGACCTCCACGTCCAGTCTTGGGCCTCTTCCCTGTTCATCCACAAGCACTCCCTAGGTGACCTCAGCCGTGCTTATGGTTGTTGGCCACAGCGTCCAAATTGACTTTGCTGCCTCCACACTTGTCCCCCTGCCCTGACCGAGCAGCCAAGGTGACTCTGTTAAGATACGAAGCAGATCACGCCATTGCTTGACTCAAGCCCCTCCAAAGTTTCTGCTCTCAGAGGAAAAGCTAAGGTCTTTTTTTTTTTTGAGATGGAGTTTCACTCTTGTTGCCCAGACTGCAGTGCAGTGGTGTGATCTTGGCTCACTGCAACCTCCACTTCCCGGGTTCAAGCGATTCTCTTGCCTCAGCCTCCCAAGTAGCTGGGATTACAGGTGCACGCCACCACGCCCGGCTAATTTTTGTATTTTTAGTAGAGATGGGGTTTCCCCATGTTGGCCAGGCTGGTCTCGAACTCTTGACCTCAGGTGATCCACCTGCCTCGGCTTCCCAATGTGCTGGGATTACAGGCATGAGCCACAGTGCCCAGCCAAGCTAAGGTCTTTATAATGTCTCCCTTCGGTACCAACAGCTCCATCCCCCAACTCCCTTCAATTCTCAATTTCTCTTTGGCGTCCTCTGTAGCTCCTCTGTCCTTAGCTCACTCATGCCTACCACACAAGCCAGCCATGCTTCTGCCTCAGGGCCTTTGCACTCACTGGTTTCTCTGCCTGGAATGTTTCTCTGGTAATGCAGATGCCACCATATCCTTGGAGACATCCTTATCTCAACTGCAAACCACCCTCCCTCTCAGCACTACCTAACGTCTTTGTTTATGTTTTTCCTTCAGCCCATACCATTCATTATCTACCATACTATATATTTTACTTACCTTGTTTATTTTCTCTCCTCTGGAATACAAAGTCCACAAGGGCAGAGATTTTTGTCTTTTGTTTTCATGGTTCTAGGCTCAAAACCTGTAACAATGCATGGCACACGGAAGATGTGAGAATTTGCTGAATAACTGAATGGCACCATGTTGCCTCACCTAAGGATAATGACTAAGAATAGGAAAAATTTACTGTGCAAAGATCAGTTCTTAATAGCTGTCTACATCTCAGAACAAAAAAAATTAGATGTAAACCATTGCACAAAGGATTAGATGAAATTTTTTTGAAAAATCAGACATTGGAGGTAAGTATTGCCATAAGCCATATAAGCAAAACAATCAAATCTCTGGAGACACTGGAAAATAAGATTGATTGTAAATTTGCTGCTGACGTTTACCATTGCTCTGCATAAATGCAAAAGGAAGCGCTGGCCAACTTCTCATGGGTTTCCAAGTCCAGGTGTCTAAAATTTGGCAGAGCTGGGAGGACTGCTTGAGGCCAGTGGTGCAAAATAAGCCTGGGCAACATAGTGAGATTCTGCCTCTAAAACAAAACAAAATAAAAGACAAAACAACTAATTCTGTTTTTTAAAAAAAAAAAACACACAACAGCAAACTTGACTATAAAGATTATTGCTGGGCACGGTGGCTCAGGCCTGTAATCCCAGCACTTTGGGAGGCTGAGGCGGGTGGATCACCTGAGGTCAGGAGCTCAAGACCAGCCTGGCCAACATGGTGAAACCCTGTCTGTACTAATAATACAAAAAATTAGCCGGGCATGGTGGTGCATGCCTGCAATCCCAGCTACTCGGGAGGATGAGGCAGGAGAATCACTTGAACCTGGGAGGTAGAGGTTGCAGTGAGCCGAGACTGCGCCACTGCACTCCAGCCTGGGCAACAAGAGCAAAACTCCGTGTCCAAAAAAAAAAAAAAAAAAAAAGATTATTATATATAATCATTCAAGGCCTGTATGACTCAGTTCCCTTAGAAAAATGTCATAATTTTTATATTACTGAATATTATTGGCGTTATTTGTGTAGCCCACTTAAGTGAAGTCAATAACATGATTAAGTGGCATATTATCTTCATGTCAGTCAAACGTTATTTGGATTTTATAAGTTAGGGTGAGATACAAATAAGTGAAAATACTTTTTCTAATGAATAATGATGAATCTAAAATAGGATTGACTTGGCTGGGCATAGTGGCTCGTGCTTGTAACCCCAACACTTTGGGAGGCTGAGGCAGTAGGATTACTTGAAACCAGGAGTTTGAGACCAGCCTCGGCAACAAAGGGAGAACTCTTCTCTAATAAAAATAAGAATAAAAAATTAGCCAGGTGTGGCAATGTTCACCTGTGGTCCCAGCTACTTGGGAAGCTGAGGCAGGAGGATCGTTGGAGCACAGGAGTTCAAGACTGCAGTTAGCGGTGACTGCACTCCAGCCTGGGCAATAGAGCAAGACCCTGTCTCTAAAAAAAAAATAATAATAAATAGGACTGGCTCGCATATGTATGCAACTATTTTGTTACCAGTGACAGAATACATGTGATGATGTTTTCTAGTCTTGTGACTGGTTTCTTAGTTGTATGTTTTATTTTTAGAATTGTTGTTTCCAGGCTGTGTTGTTTGGAAACTCAGCTGACAGATGTATGAATCTGATTCCAGAGTCTCTGAGAGCTGGAAAGGGCCTCAGAGATGGTTGGGACTGATACTCTTGCATTACAGGTCAGGAAATACAACCCAGAGACAAGATGAAACTTGCCCAAGGACATAACAGCCAGCCTGTGGCTAGGCTGATACCAGATTCCTGTTCTTCCCATTCCAGTCGCATGCTACTCAGGAAACTCATCAGCATTCCCGAATATTGAGTGTTTCCTACCTGTTACATTAGCAGTTTTTGAGAAGGGTATATATTGTAGTTAAATTAATCAGCTTTGGGAAAATATGGGTGCAGCATGGGAATAGAGACTGTCATTTGAGAATCATTGCAGAAATGACAAAACCCTGAGAATGAAGAATGGGCCTGCAATAGTCCTGGCACTTTGCTCTTCCACCAAACTGAACTGTAGCTCAAAGGACAATGACTTCACGTCTGTCACTCTAAAGCCTGTTCTAAGATCACATCCCCTCTGGCTCTCCCTAGATACTTCTGATTATAGTTGGTAATCATGCCCATTAAATGTCTTTGGTTTCTTGGTACACAGAGAGAAGGTAAATAATGGGTTCATGATTTAGGTAAGAATACACAAATATTTTTCACACTATAAATCTGTTTTCTATTCAGTTAAATATTAGACCATCTGGTAATGGAGAAAATGTTTGAAAATCCACCTAGTTAACCTAAAAGTTTGCATTTCCTGCCTTTGGGGCTTTGAATTTTTAAGTTACATGTCTTCGTAGATGGTGATCAGGATAAAACTAATATCTCTCTTAGATGAATCAAAATTCACCCCCTTGGGCAAGGGAGGGACCCAGCCTTTCTTTAAACATGTGGTTGCCTGAGAGTTGAACAAAACTGGAATAGGGAGAGAATGGCTTTGCCATGCTGATCATGGTATTGTGGAGATTTAAGAACTAGTGGCCAGGCGAGGTGGCTCACGCCTGTAATCCCAGCATTGTGAGAGGCCAAGGCAGGTGGATCACTTGAGGCCAGGATTTCGAGACCAGCCCGGCCAACATGATGACCCTGTTTTTACTAAAAATACAAAAATTAGCCGAGTGTGGTGGTGTGTGCCTGTAGTCCCAACTGAGGCATGAGACTTGCTTCAACCCAGGAGGCGGGGGTTGCAGTGAGCCGAGATTGTGCCACTGCACTCCAGCCTGGGTGACAGAGTGAGACTCTGTCTCAAAAAAAAAAAAAAAAAAAACTAGTCAGAGCTGTTGAGGTGTTGAGGCACCTGCTACTGATACACACTATAAACGTGGAAGATGATTTTCATTTTTGTAGTCATGAGCAGGATACTGTATAATGTATAATTGTTGGACATTAAAGAAAACAAACTCCTTCTTGTCTCCTTAGGCTCAGAGCCACTCAGACATTGGGAAGCAAGTTTGTCAAGATGACAGAGAACCGAGGTAATGGATTCGAGTGATGAAACAGGAAGTTCATTCATGAGTTTTTGGCCACACCTCCAAAGTGACGACTTAGCCAGAAATGGGATAACTGGGTTTCCCTACTTCTCTTTTATCATCCTCAATGAGAGTGACCAAATATTAGAGCTAGATGGAACCTTAGTGAAAATCTGGCTACTCGTCCCGTCCCACCAGCCTGCCACCCATTTCAAGTTTGAAGAGACAAAGACACATGGACCTTATGTAATTACTGGGGATTACCCCAGGAGTCTGTGGCAAAAGTCAGCTTCTTCCCTCCCTGCTTCCCCGCCCTGTCTCTGGTACTTTCTACCAACACTGGGCTGTTTCTGTGATCACACTTAAGCGTACCTAACCTGCGAATGCTGTATAGAAGGTGCTAATGAACATGATTTAGCTTTAACACTCAGTTTTCTAAAGGGACACGTGGGGGCAGCAAATGTTTAGGCAAAAACAATTCCAGTTCTAGCCTCTACTGTCTACATATGTGTATACATTTGGGAAACGTTTGGGAAAGGGATATTTGAGAGCTTCTTTTTCTTTTTTGTGGTTTAGTTATTTGATGATATTGAGATTGTTTCTGAGCCATGTGCTTCAACATCGGATTGGGGATTTCAGAAAAAGTTTTAGTCACTGTGATTCCATTTAGCTTCCAAATGTGTCTCTGCTAAGAGACTTAAAAGCACTCATAAATAGCACGTGTGTCTTCTTTGCAGTGTTTGCTAATTTTGAGTCACATCTTTTTAGAAAATCATGAGATTTGGTGTCACAGAGACTGGAATAAATATAGTCAAACTTATTGGTGAAGATTTCCTTTAGCTGTTTTCATAATCCATTTCCATTGTTATGATTATTGATGAATAAAACATTTTCTTTAGGTAGATACTTCTTTTTTCCCCCCACCTTGATTTAATGTTTCCACTCTTATTGTCAAGTTTCTTATTACTCCCTAATAACTCTCAATAAAATAATGATTCCTGGGAGATTATTCCTGCTTTCCTACTATCACCTGTTGATTTGAAAAGACAGAACAATACCGTAGAAGCTTCACTAATACATTGAAAGATAAAATGATAATACTAAATACTAAAATATGAAAAGTGATACTAAAAGTGGAGTCCTGGCACTAGTATTTTTTTTTTTGAGTCTTTAAATTTTATTTATTTATTTTTGAATTTTTTAAAATTATATGTTATGTTCTGGGATACATGTGCAGAACGTGCAGGTTTGTTACATAGGTATACAGGTCTGGCACTAGTATTTTGTTGCCACAAAATATCAAGCATGTATCCAAACTGCTCAAGACACATTAAAGACACAGGTAATCTGTAGGCATATTCAGGCTTGTAGTTTGCATTTTTTGGTTTTCTTGTGGCTTTCAGTGCAAGTTGAGGTAATTCATGGGAAACAGTCACCAAAGAAGTGCCAGTATTAGAAATCCAAGAGCCATTTCTCTAGCTTCTTCCAGAATCAAGACTTTAGAGGTAATTTCTATCAACACTGGACATTTCCTGTCTGCAATTAACAATGAACACATAGCATTATGTTTAATTGCAACCTGTTTAAAGCAGATTGGATGCTAAGGTTTAAGAACACTCTTCAGTCAAAAAGGTCTTTTAATCAGGTTTTTAATCTTGAGCACAATCTAGGACACAGCATCATAGACTAACTCATTCGAGAATAGGTGTTGTCATCTAATCCTAACCACCCCCACCACCAACAAGCTGAATAGCTCTGGGCTCAGTATATACATTTGTACTGGGCTCAGTACACACACCTAAGCTGGGTTCAGTATATGCCACTTTATAGTGAGAGGCATTTTGTAATGAGAGCTCTGGGTTCACTATATACATTTGTACTGGGCTCAGTACACACATCTAAGCTGGGTTCAGTATATGCCACTTTATAGTGAGGGCCATTTTGTAATGAGAGCTCTAAGGCTCTAAAATTCTGTGTTTCTGCTAGTTTCTTCCTCAAGATAAAACTGTGGAACTCATAGTGAATTCCCTCTCTTTGGGCAGTTTGAGCCAGGCCGCTATTTAATCACAACATCACAAGTCAGATTTTTCCTACCTAGTGTTGGCAGTGGAACACACCAGAACTGCTAAGGCCAAGGAAATCCCATTTTTTGAAGAGGCTTTCCTTTGTTAGCTTCTCTTTCTAGTAGTAAAGGTAAAAGAAAAATAGATGTTAAAGATATAAATATCTTAGGGGGTTTTTATTGGTATAAATATTTGTACACAAAAAGAATATGTAATGTAAACTGGATATGTATTTTTTACATTTTACTTAACCTGAATTTTACACAATCTTTGCTTGAATGCTCCAACAATGAAAGGAGAAAATATGTATTTAAACAATTTTTAAGTATTTATTCTTTATTCAGGACACTTGAGTTTCATTCAAGCTATAGTTTTAAAATGTAAAAATGCTGAGAAATTAAAAGCAGTCAAATGCTTTTGTCTGAGTCTTTGTTCAAGGAAGTATCTTAGACAACTTTGCCTTAAAAGTTCTTGAGGCAAATGAAAACCAGTTTTTCAGAATTAGAAAGACCACAATTAACTTAGTATCCTATAACTTTGGTGTTTTAAAAAGTAATTCTCAAAGGGGTGAGTCAAGTCAGAAAGAGAACTGTGTGTGTAAATTGTCAGGTTTTGACGTTTGTTTCCAGCCATTTCCAGAGAGAAAACTTCATTTTTATTCTTCTCAGCAGCACATTTCAAAGGAAAATTGTACAATTCTTATATTCACAATATCACAGCTAAAATTATCTAGTATAAAGACTCTACGATTTACATCGTAAGATTCAGAAAGAGCACATTTTGAGTTTGAAAACAAATGAAGTGATATGTGCTACGTCAATTTTTTTAAAAAAACCTCATATACTTGATCAGGCCTTATTAAATTGTCAACTTAAGTTTCTAATGCAACTTCCTGTGTTGACATAAATACAGAAAAAACAATACCATTTGAAGAGTGCCTCCCCAGGGTTCCAGAGCCTGGAACAATTTAATAAAACAATTAAGTACTGTGTTATTGGGGGTGGGGGGGGGGGAGGAATGAGCTTTTAAAACCAAACCAAAACAAAACCAAACCTCTCCAGACTGAGAATCTTTGAGTTTTGAACATGTGATTGGAAATCCAGAGGTAGCCTGCCTGTCATTTTGAGATCCTTGATAAGTAACCTTGCACAGCCTCAAGAGACTCATGGGCACGGCACTTTTACTGGAGAGCTCTCTTTTCAGCAACACGTGCAAAAGTGGTAAGGTTCCATTATTAAGACATTGCCAGCGATTAAAACATGGAAATCTGACAAGTTTTAACAGCAATCGAAGTGTATTCTTTTCAAGTGTGTGGTTTTGAGAAAAAGCAGTGGAGTCTGGAGTCTGCAGGTCCCGTCGGGCACATCAAGAGGATGTGCTTCCTTTAGGAAGGCAGGAAAGGCAAAGAGAGTGTCTCCACTTTAAAAAACATGGCCTTACCTCATATTGCAAAATTAAAGTGACAAATCCTGGAGAAAATCTCAGAGCACGCATTACAACCAGTCCCGCCATTAGTCAACTAAGACAAACTGAAAGTAAACGGAGCCTTGTCCGAGTCTATCCGCGACCCTGGGCCCCTCCAGGCAGTGGGAAAACCGGGCGGACACTTCCGGGCCTGCACAAAGGGAACCAGGACCGAGCCCTGGAGACTAGCTGGGGCTTTGCGTGGCAGAAAGTTTCGAGGCTTCCGGCCCAGACTTTCAGGAGACTTGCATCCATTTAGGAGACTCTCTGTCTCCACCAGCCTCTAAATTCTGAATGGGAATAAACTCAATCGGCTCTCCACCCCCCTGCCCGCCCGGGTTTGGCGCCAGGGCGCCCTCCCGGCAGAGGCCCGAGCGCAGCGTGAACCGCCAGCCCGGCTGGGGCGCCCTACACTCGGCACTGCAGTCCCCGCCTCCCGCCGCAGCCCAAGGGGGCAGGCCTCGGAGCCACCCAGCTGGGCCACCCGGGAACTGGCTGAGTCCGCAGAGCAAAGGGGCGGCGGCGGCGCCGAAAGCTGGAGCGCGCTGCGAGCCAGCGGCCACCGCACCGCCGGGAAGCGACGCCCACCTGTTTGCTCAGATATTGCCATTTCCAGGCCATGACACCTGCACCCTGAATGGTGACTAGCCTTCTCACCCGAGGCAAGGCCGAGCCCCGGGGCACACATCCTCGGGTTGACTACGTGGCCAGAGGGTCAGCGGCCCAGACCTCCAGCTGCGTGCAGAGCAGCGAGCCCAAGGCGCGCTCGCTTGGCTGTGGTGCCTGAGGCTGGGGCTGCTGCAGCTCCCCGAGGCCCGCTCCAGGAAAAGACATCCGAGCCTCTCCACCTAGCCACTCAGGGACCTTTACGTACAAATGTAGGACACTTGCCTCTCTGGTGGGGAAAATGTTGGAGAGGGTGCTGCCATTGGGTGCGCGCCTGGTCAGCGAACTTAATCTAGCGAGTTTGGGATGGGGAAGTAGGATGGAGAGGAGAGCGAAATTTCACTCCCTCTAATTTAGCAGGAGGAAGTCCATGATCGAGGATTCCTGGCTTTTCGGACTTGAGATTCAAAGAACAAGTCCCAGGCGCATGGGCTTAGCGAACGAGACTGAGACGTTAAAGTAGCGCGCTAGGAGTTGGGAAGGGAGGAAAGAAAAGACAGAAGACGGGAAACGAGAAGAAGAATCGCAGAGGTGGAGTGGAGTTATGCCCAGTCCAGAGTAAACTTTATTCTAACCTAGAGGCTGTCTTGATTTCTAAGATGTAGAGACACCCTATGCCGTGCTTCTAAACCAGTGTCCCGGGCAAACGGTCAACGCCGCCAAGAGATGTCGCGAAACGCTGAGTTATTAGGCTCTTGCTTAGCAGTGCTGTTGGACTTGTTCTTAAGTTGGCTAATTCGAATGCAGAGCGGTTTGAGACGTTTAGCTTTGCATACCTAGGGCTGAGACACGCCCTGTTTTTCAAAAGGGGGACTGATAAAGCCGGGGTCTCAAGTTTTTCACAAGGCCAAAGATGAGGAGTGGCTGCAGTTTAGAAAGTCAATCCCAAAACTCTGCTACAGATCGAGGCAGACTTTCCCTAAATGGTTCCCAAATCTGGGTTTTACTCCCAGATATTCTGATTTCTTTGTTGTGTTGAGCCGCTCAGGCATCGCGACTTTACAACCCTCCAGCTGACTCTAATACACAGCAAAGTTTGAAGGTCACTGCCCTAAGTCACCCATTACCCCCAGGAAAGGTTTTTTGGAGAAGGAGCAAGGACCTTCTTCCATTTAGCTCTTGGCGATTGTGCCAGCTTTGGAACTAGCTCCCCAGTCATTGAAAAGTACAATCCCTCACCTTACAGGTTTTTTGTTTGTTTGTTTGTTTTTTGCACAGTGACACAGCAAAACATTGACTCTCCACTGGCATCAGACATACAGGAATTATGAAGGATGAAACCATCTCCCCCAGGCCTTCAATAAGTGCAAGTGGTAAGTTAGCATTGAGAATTCTGCCTGCCATGTACAAGGTAAACTGGTAGCTCTTTCAGCCACCCTGACTCAGGATATCCCATTAGGAACCAAAGTACTCTCTCAGGGCTAGTGATTGCAGACTTTTCAAGCTGGTGTTAAAGAAACTGAGAGTCTCAAATTCAGGCTGGATCACACACACCTGCATCCAGACTCCCCCCAAAATGGATCTGCTACATTAGGAATGGCTGCAGAAGAAGCCTCGCTGGTGTCTAGAATGTCCAGGAGTGGCGCTGGGGAACTGGGGGGATGGTATTGGATGTCCAGGATCGCTCATATACAAACCTAAAACCTGGTTATATTAAGTGGTGAATTACTGATAACAAGACTAGCAAAATAGCCCCTTTTCAGCAGACATGGAGGGGAGGATAGTTCTCTTGACCTTTCCTAAAGGTAACTCCAGAGGCAGAGGCACCACATAGGACCACCCCCACCCCATCCCCGCCAGGCACCCAGCTGTGCTTGGATTTGGCTGCCTAAAGCGTTTATCACCTCACTCTACACAAGGCAGGACCTGGAAAGAGATAACCCCCTGGTGGCTGGGTCGGGTCAGGATCACTTATAACTTCCTAGGCTTTCATCCTCTCTCTCTTATTTCTGCACCATTTATTTGCAGTGAGAACTGCTTGACGCTTCTTTAACGTCCATCTCTCCAAGAACAAGTGCATAACATGGGAGGGGGGAGGCAAGGGATTGGAGGGAGCAAAACCACTGGTCAGGAATTCCCTGCACACTCCAGATGCTGAGATGCGAAAGGGGACCTTACAGTCTTCAAGAACTGGCTTTTTCACTCCCCCCACCCCCAACACTTTTTGCTGATCTATTTTGGGGGCCCTTGGGAGTATCTTCGAAGGCGCTAGGAAAGTAAACATTGGAGCGGGGTCTGCAGATGTGCCTATTCCAAAGATCCAAGAGAGCCATTCTGCACTCTTGCCAGCCCTGGACGGGCATCCCTGTCACACCCCAGCTTCACAGCTCATGGTACTCTCGGTCTTTCCAGGCCGGTTGGGACACCACGCGTTCCAGCGATTTACTCTGCAGAAGAGTTGGGAGAATCCCCCTTTCCTCCATCCCCCCTCCCCCAACACACACACACACACACACACACACACACACACACACACACAGCAGTTCTCCACAAGGGTTTCCCTCCAGGGCAGATTACTTTATGACAGGGTGTGATAAGTGGTGATTTTGTTCCTCTTTTGATGGCAGGATTGCTTTGTAAACAGAAGTGCAAACTCGTTCCGATAGTGGTTCCGCACCAGTGCTCGGCAGCCGCCCTGGCACAGCGGGCAGTAGAGACAGCTGCTGCACCTGTCGCCTAAGGCCGAGAGGGCCGGGAGGCCGCTCCTGGAGGGGGCGCACTGACCGGTGATGCGCTCCTCCAGTCTCCAGGGCATCTTTAGCTTCTCGGCCTCTGGGCTTCCCAGCTTGCTGCACACCTCGGGCCTGTACCCACTGCTGTCAGTTGAAAGCGTGCATTCTGGAAAGCCACAGTGGGACATCCCTAATGCACACCCTTCCTTCTTCACCTTCTCCCTGGACACCTTTGCTAAGAGATTTGGCTAATTTCTTCTCCTGTGGTTGCTGGTAATTCTCCTGGTAATTCCTTTGCCCTAATCCAATTGGAGAGTCATGCCACTCAGTTTCCCTCACCTTTTCCTTTGAGTAGCCCAATTCTCCTTCTTCCTGGCCCTGACCCTGAGGGCAAGTTTACCACGCCAAGGGGGACCAAGAAGGAAACAAAGTTTAAATTAGGTTTGCTCTGCCAAGGGCAGGGAATAGCAGCCACTGTGGGAGACAGGGGAAGAGGAAAGACGTGAAGCCAGAGGTCACTCCACCTGCCCAGGGATCTTCAACTCCCCAGCGGAAAAGCAAAGCCGAGGTCATCACCCGAATGAACCCATTGCTCAGACTTGGGTCCAGATATCCAAGTTCATTTAGAGAACGTTGGGTGAAATCGCTAGGGGTATGGTGCCTGATGGTAAGTGAAGGAGTGGAGTGAAAATGAGGCTCAAGCAGGGCTTAACCCTAACTCAGAGATTACTCCCTCAGAAACTTTGGGGCTGATGGCGCTGGGAGGAGGGTTGTTGGCGGAGAATGGGTTCCACCGCAGTTTCTGACACCACAGGCCTCAGAGAGCCTGAGCTCAGCATTACCTGAAGCTGGGAGCTCCGCTCAACCCAACACCAGGTCATCCCGCCCCTCACCGCAGCTCAGGCTTCCCTCATTGAGTGGGGCACAGAAAAGTTTGCGACACGGCTCAGTGTCCCAGGCCCTGTTAGCTAGTGAACCTGCTTCGTGGTGGCAGCGCCAGGAGTGGCTGCGGAACTCCCGCGGCTCTCCCTCTCCTATCCCAGGGGGAGAAGCGGGGTGCCGCGGGTCTCTGTTTCAAAAGAGACCCGAGGCCGCACTTTCCGAGGCCTCTTGGGAACGGAGGTGGGTCGCCAAGTGCAGTTAGTGGCCTTGGGCCTGCCCGCACTGAGAGCAGCTGGCTCTCCGGAATGGTTGTCTGGAACCCGGAGAGCGGATGAAGCTGGGAGGCATCCCCCATCCCCCGCCAATCGTGGCACCCCCGAGGTGCCACGGGGCGCAGTCTCGCTGGTGCGGAGCTGCGGAGGAGGTCGGGGTGGGGAAAGGCTCTGAGCGGTGCAGCAGGTGTTTGAGGAGCCAGGGAAGGACGCAAATCTGGCAGGACTGGGGTTCTGAGGAGGAAATCGCGGGAGGTGCAGATGACCAGCTCCTGGCTGCTGCGTGTCTAAGAAGGGCAATGCAGTTTACATCATCTTAAATTGAACAGGTCTTGGGCGCTGTGAACTCATCTTGGACGTGGGGCGGTGTAGACCGTCCTGGACAAGGCTCAGCAGCCTTTCTTGAGAGCGCATTGTTGGCCAGGCGCTGTGCTAAGCGTTTTGCGCACATTCTCCTATTGAATTCCCACCAATTAGCCACTTTACAAACCAGGAAACAGGAGTTCAGACAAGGTCGGTAACTTCCCCAGGATCACACAGCCCCTACATGTATATATCGGAGCTGAATGCAGACCCCAAGTGACCTCACTGCAAAGCTAAATTCTAGCTCCCGCATTTCACCTCCCTCCGCCTCTCTCCCACATCATCCGCCCGCTAGGATGTGCACAGATGCCGACGGTCCTCTCTCCTAAGGCCTGGCTGGGGTGCTTCGCTTCCAGCTCACCCTGTCCATTCCCACCCAACCCTATGCGGCGCCTTAGCTTCGCGCTTAACCCCGCTCTCAGCTCTGCCTCCCGCTCTCCGCACGCTCAGGTCCCCCACCCCAAAAGTACTGAGGGTGGAGACGGCGCTCCCTACGCCCCACCCTGGCCCTGGGACACGTCTGCCAGCCCCTCCTAGGCTCGGCCCGGCCCGTCCGGCTGGGCCCGAGGTCGCCTCCAGCCAGAGTTTCCTCCGAGCTGGCGAGGCGAAGCGGTGGCAGGCTGAAACCGCCGCTCACTTTTAAGAGAGCACAGCGACCCCCGCCTGAATCCCGGAGAGCTGCAGGTGCGCCCTTCGTGCGTGTCTTCCACTCTGAAAAGTTAGTCACCGCCCTATTTCCACCGTCTGGAAAAAGCCAGGGAAGATGCACTTAGGAGTTAAAAACTTCATCTAATTTATTTAAATTCTCAGCAAAACAAAACAAACCAAAAAAACTACCCACAGAAACCCCCAGCCTTGACCAAGATTCTAAGGCAGGTCCCAGAAAGTTTTAAATCAACTAAAGGATGGGCATTGGGATGAAAGTCCTGTAGCCCAGGGATGAATAAAATGCGGAACCGATAAGGGGACTCCAGGGAGAGGCACCTCCACCCCACCCCTGGGAAGGCCGAGAGGTGCAAAGCCGCCTGGACAGGGCCCAGGGGTCGGAGGCTCTCGGGCACGGTTAGAAAGGGGAGGTTTTGGTGCCTGGGGGACAGGTCTCTGCTCCACAGCGTGGAGCTGACCTTTTACACATATTTGCCTGACATGTCAGAGAAGACGATTTAAAACTGGTTCTTTGTTCGTCTCCAAGTCCCGGCGACAGCAGCCCGGGAGGGTAACTGGGCCTGGCCCAGGCGTCCCAGGCCTAGACCCAGGACAATTCGATCTCATAGCCGCGGAATGGGACTGGCACCGTCTCTGGGAGAGTGTGGCCCGAGGCCAATCTCCTCACCCTCACCTCCCTCCTGGCCAGGTGCGGCTCCGGGAGCCCCAAATCCCGTGGCTTCTTTTAAAGCTCCCCTCTAATTAGAAGCAGCGGTGAAATCACTTCAGTGATTTTATCTGTCATGGGAAAGCAAACCCTAAACCAAACCTCAGTTGCCCATCCCAGAGCCACCAACGCCCCCATTCTTCCTTTAAAAAGTTCTAAATGGAAAAGATAAAGCGCTGGAAGCCATAGAGGAGTGGGAGAGGGGAAGGGAACTGTGAAAGTAGGAAGAAGGGGGTGGACCTTTGTACAGAAGTGCTAAGTCTGAGTGTGTAAGAGAGAGTGTGTGTGAGTGTGTGTATGTATGTGTAGAGTTTCTCTCTTTCTCTCTACGATGGGAGGAGACTAAACCTAGAAGCCAGAAGTGACACAGAATCATGAACGTCTTCACCTATTGAGCAACAGTTTCATGTGGAATCTAACGCTGAAGTGGCCCCGGGGTTGGCAGAGTCAGATCCGCTAAGGCCAGCCGTGCCCTGCACCTCGTGGGCGGGTGGGGAGGCGGGGACGGCGACCTGTCCCCACTGTGTCCAGGTGCGCGGGGATCATGGGGTCTGGACGCTTCTAGCAGTCTAGCCCTTCCCCAACCCCCGACCCCCACCCGGGAGTGGAGACTCCCCCAGTTCGAAAGTTCCGAGGGGAGGCTAGCCATGGGTCGAGCTTGTCGATGCCCCACCACTGGAGTGCGAAAACACACTCACACTCGCATCGCACCCAGCACATCCAGCAGTCAGTCAGCTTCGGTTCCCGGGCCAGGGACTGACCGGGAAAGCGGGTTGGGGCTGTTGGGAAAAGCTGGAGCTGATGGCAAGATTGCCGCGGCTATAAATCCATCACTTCCCAGGTCAGCTCTGTGCGGCGCTGGGACTGCAGCTGGCGGAGTGAATTCCTGGGCCAGCGCGCATGCGTCGGCAGGTAGCAACCCAGCTCTTTATGACCAGGTGAGATGTTGGTGAGCAGGTAAAAAAGGAGGATTTGCCTAAGCGATTCCAGGGAGCTGGCCCGACCGAGCCCTCCAGCCCATGCCCGGCGGGGACCAGTCGCCAGGAGCGCAGAGCCGCGATGTCCATACTTGCCAAAATGGGGGACTGGCAGGTACGGGGGGTTTGCCTTGGCTGGGGTTGAGGTGGGCAGGGGTGGAGTAGGGGAGGGGGCCGGAGCGGGGAGGAGGAGAGGAAGCGCCGTGGCCCAGGGCAGGGGAGTCGTAGGTGAGGCGCGCCTGGCAGCGCCCAGGAGAGCTCCCAGGAGACAGCGAAGACAGGAAAAACGGGCGCAGGCAGCGACTGCGGTGCTGGGCGCAAAGCGCGCAGCCCGCGGGGCCCGGCGCCGGGGAAGTCCGGCGCACGCTCCACAGGTGGCCTGGTGGGTCACTTGTGGTTTGTGCTGTGGCCGTTTCCCCCACCCCCCTCCCACCTCAAGTAGAAACTTGGGAGGATGACTAATTCGGAAGGGGGGAGGGAGAAGGCCTGGGGTTGTGGTGCGCGGCGGTGAAGGTTTTCAGCCTGCTGCGCCTGCGGCCTCGCCCTAGACCCCAGGGTTGAGTGTTGGACAGGTTCTGGTGCACCTGTCTCTCTTGGTACCCCCAGATTTCGGGAGATCTAGGATGTGTGAAGAATGGAAAGGGGTCCAGATGGCTGGGTCGCGGAGGCAGCGTGTTTCTGTAGGAGATACAAAGTTTGCCCGAAGTTTAGCTAGCAACTCACTCCACTTCCTGAAATGGGTTTTTGCCGCCTGGGCTACGGATGAGGGAGTGTGAGAATGGTGGGTGAGGAGGCAGGGGGGTGGTGAATTTGCCAAAACCAACGCCTGTGGAACTTGGCCCTGCTAGGCCGCGGACACCACAAGGCATCCAAGGCTTGGCTCCTGTCCTTCCTGAGCCCCGGATTCCGACCCTGGCCAAGGAAGCATTTGTCCAGCTCTCTCCTTCCAACTTCCAGACACTTTCCCTTCGGGAAACAGAGCGGCTCTGGCCAGGATGGTGGCGGTAAAAGGCTCTGCCTGTCGCCGATTTCATCATCAGAACCGCGAGGCCCTGTTTTCGCCCCAACCAAGAGGCCTGGTGAGGGTGAGATTCTGTGTGCCCAAAAGCCCAGGGGACAATTCGAATCTAATGCCCTGAACTTCCCCCCAAAAATCTGAGGCCTTGCTACTCCTGGTCGAGTTCTTTCTCTTGTTTCAGATTTAGGCCATTAAAAGTAAAGTTCTGAGAAGTGCAGTCTTCACTAAGCTACCTGGAGTTGGAGAAAGAAAGGCCTTTTGCGTTCTGTACTTTTTTCCCTTGGATTTATTACTTTTATCAAGAGTGAGCTCTTTTATATTCTTCTCCCTAGTTAAGCCTCACTAAATGGTATTTCATCCGCAAGTTTAGACAAACCTCGTGGTTTAAGGATGCAAATCCCATACCAGAGACAAATCCCGGGAATCCACACCTTTCCCTTCCTGACCCTGTGGGCTAAAGGCCCTTCCTAACTCTCTTATTTGGAGGCTGAAGACTGGGGGAGTCCTTTCGGAGCAGTCTTTGGGTTTTCTCCTCAAATTCCAGTGAATTTCGCTGCAGAATTCCTAGGCCGTGAGAAGGTGCCTGTTGAGTAGGTTTGGCCTGGGACTGGGCCTTCTGTGGGTTCGACTAAGGTTTGAAAGCCGCGAGACTGCCGCAGGAGGAGGAAGGAGGGAGCCGCGGGCCTGGCTCTTGCGGGCTCACAGTTAGGCAAGTGGCTGGAGGCCTGGATCTCGGGTGGGGCGAGCGGATTTGGGGCCCGGAGGGGCCGAATCTGATGGGCTGGGCCTGTTGGGCTCCCGGCTCCCACTGGGCATTGACAATCGGAGAAAAGAGAGTCGTTCTGGCCCCTCACTGTCTCTTTCTCTTTGTGACTCTGTCTCTCACACAAATACTCCCTCTTCCCCGCGACGCCCTTTTTATGCCCCCCACGTCAGGCCTGGATCTCCGACCTCCAACCCCAGGCCTGGCGCTGCTGTCCCGGGGTTCTGGCCCCGCCGGAGCATTGACATGCAATGAAGCGACTTAGCGTGGTAATGACGCTGGCATAAATGCAGCTCGGCTGGCTCCAGAGGCGACCCTGGCGCTCGCCCGGGCCTTTCATCAGCGCCTACACCGGGGGCGGCAGTCCAGAGCCGGCAGGTCCCAATCTGCACCTCAATGGCGCCCTCGGCGGGAATACAACAACAGTTTAGCAGCCCCAGCGGGTGCGGAGCCGGAGATCTGTTGGGCGCGGGGCAGCGGGGAGGTGGAAACGGGGGTTGAAATGGGGTGGCAGAGGATGGAGGGCGGCCTTTCCAAGCCCGCAGAGGGCAAGAAAGCGAAACTTGGAGTTCCCTTAAGCACACCGCGGCGACGTCTACGGAGTGTAAAAACCCATGCTCTCAGGCCTAGGGTTTGGCCTGCTCAGGCTATGGCCGCTGCTGGGAGGGTGTCGGTGCTCCTGGCAGCCCAGATCCTGACTTCAAACCACTGCACTGGCGACAGGCTGGGACAGCCCTGCAGGGTCTAGCCCTGGAAAGTCGACCATTTTCTGGACGGAGGGCGGCGCCAAGCCTCCAGCCCGGTTCAGCCGAGGAATTGTGCTCAGTTCAGGTAGGGCAAGGGAGGCCCAGAGCATGGGGAGGGCTTCCTGGGTCTGTAAGGCCCCTTGCCAGCTCCGGCTTCTCCCTAGCTTTTTGGAGCCTTCTGCCTACTCTGCTAGGTTTGGGGAGTTTGCTGAGGTGTTTGGAGGGAGAATTCCCCTTCTGCAGCCTTGGGTGGAATGGGGAGTTCTCCCAGCTCCTGCCTTCCTTCCACCTGTGAGGGAATGCTCCAATCTGCCACAGTTCCCATCCCCTTTTAGGAACGCCCGGTGGAAATATGGGAGGCCTGGAGATTTTCGAGAAACAAGCCCAGATGAATCAAAGGTCCTTACTAGAGCAACTCTGAGGCGGGACCTAGTGTAGTTAAGGAGTTTGTACATATAGCAGAGAGAAAAGACAGAGGTAACTTTCTTTTGGAGGACAAACGAGGAAGCTCAGCCAGGAAAATTAATTACTCTGTATTTCCTAGTGTCACATTAGGTCCTTTTCTTTTTTTTTTTTCTTACTTAAAAAAAAATCCCAAAACCGAAAGGGATAAAAGCCCCAGAGGACCCAGCAGGCCCCGGTGAGGAGTCCAAAAGCCCGGACTGACCAGTCTGGACGAGTAGGTGGCTCCCAGGCCTCCAGGTTCCGCGGCAGCCGGGCTCTGCCTCGCGAGCACGCCCGCGTTAGTAGCATCACCAAATCATGAAGGAACTCTCCCTGCTTTAATTAAAAAGGGGAATCTTGGGAAAACTAGAGCAGATTAACACAGCTAAAAGTCGGTTCCCGGTGATTTATTTTGATGCACGCACGAGACGGTATCTAGACTTGCAGGCACACACACGTCTGTTTTTAGGCTCAACTTCAGAAGCGGGTGTGCAGTTCCATAGGAGTTCTGTATTCGTGTCCACGTTGCACCCAGGAAACCTTAGCCTGAACACCAATTTGAACTGTCAGTTGGCCCTAGCTTCACACAAACAGGAGAAAAATTGTTTAACCCCTGGAGCTGTCAAGTAACCTCTTCAGGGTACAACTTTTATTTTACACGCTGCAATTAAGGGATTGCAAACCCCAGCAGAGCCACCGGAGCCGCTTGGCAGAATCTCCAACCTGGGGGAAAGCTCAAAGCCAATAAAACTCCCAAGGCGCTGCGGCCCGAGGGGGTGGCTGCCTCGAGCGGAGGCGATCCCTTGTTGGGAAAAAATCCTGGAGTGACTTCGCCGGTCTTGGTTTGGTGGTTATGTTTAATTGCGAAAGGGATAATGATTTCTAATAAAATTGCACGGGGCCAAAAGGGCAGCTCGGATCGTGGTAGCAGGGTTAAGGGAGAAGTGCTAGAAGCTGGGCCCCAGGCGTGGCGCTTGGACCTTGAGCAGTGCCGGGCTTTGCAGAAGGCATCTCTGGAGAAAAGGAAGCGGAGAAAGAAAGGAAGGGGAATGTGGCGGAATTGGGGTAAGAGAGGGGGTGTTGGGGCAGGGCCTCGCGGCGGAGCTCGAGGAAGGTTTTATCAGTTCGCAGGCTGGAGTGCGCTCTAGAAGCAAGTTCGCGGCGTAGAGAGGCCTTTATACCTGTGTCGGAGCGGCCGGCGGCAGATTGTGGTACTGGCGAGCAATTGGACTATTGTTGATATGCTAATGAGGCGATTAGGCTGTTGGTAAAGAGCTGGAAAAGGGAAAAGTTTCTACCATTAGAGGGAGATCTCCGAGCGCACACGGGAGCTCTTTCCCTTCTCTCCTCCTCCTCGCCCTTCTCCTCGCCCTCCTCCTCCTCCTCGCCCTCCTCTTCCTCCTCCTCCTCCTTGCCCTCCTCCTCTCCCTCCTCCTTCTCCTCCTCCACCTCCTCTCCCTCCTCCTCCTCCTCCTGCGCTCACCGCCGGCAGCCAGCACTTTGCGCTCACCCAGAGAGTAGCTCCACTTGGGTGCGAGACCGAGAGGGGCATATCCGTTCACGCCGATCCATGAAAATGCTTTGGAAATTGACGGATAATATCAAGTACGAGGACTGCGAGGTAAGCGCGACGCCGGCTCGATCATCCGTGCGGTCACAGGCTCCGAGCTTGACCCTCCCTCTCCTCCTCCTCTCCTTGCAACCAGCTGCGAAACGCGGGTGGGACAAACTTTCCCCAGCGCAGCGCCCGTCCCTCGGATTCGCCCGAAGAACGCGGGGGAGAAGCTGCAGAGAGAGGACGTGGATGCTCCCTTCTTTGGTTTCCCTACTTTGAAGCTCGTGTCCCACTTTACTCCCCTTTCTGACCAATTTTGGCTGTGCCTAAGAATGGGGGAAAAGAAGAACATGGGCTTTTGAAGCAATTGCTGGCAACTGGGCACTTGCCTGTGCACTCCTCGTGTTATCTTCATCGAGATTGAGGGCCCAAGTCACCAGGAACAGAAAGGAAAGAGAAAACTCTTTTCTCTCTTGAACTTCCTCTCCGATCTTTAATATTCCTTCTTCTTTCTATTCATTCATTCATTCATTCATTCATTCTTTCTTCCCCCCACCCCCACTTCTAAAGCGGTTCCCTTCTCGGCTTTAGAGACGGCCCCCCCACACTTCGCTGTGAGCTGGGCTGCATCTTCCTGTAAGCGGGTTCAACTTAAGACCACTGATCCCAGCTGCGGGGCTCGCTCCAGATCCTCTGTGCTTCACGAAGTTCTAAGTAGCTTCTCCCTCTGAGCTACAGGATCGACGCACCCCACGGGGGTGTGTGGGGGTGGGGTGGGGAGATGTGCTGCGCCGAGCCTGCTGGCCGCTGGGTGCGGGAGCACCAGCTTCTGCACCAGCCCAGAACGACCGTGGGAATCCTTGCGCGGCTGCAGACCACCTCTGGTGCCGCAAGCCCGCTGGGCCGACAGAGCGCGCCGCTTTGGAACCCATTTTAAAACGCAGAGTCCCCTGAGCTCGCCTTCTTGAGGCAGCAAGGGAGACCCTAGCGCGACCTGTCCACCCGCAGGAGGCGCTGGGAACGGTTACAACCAACACTGTAATGAGCAATGAGTCCGAGAGAGGGGTTGGGGTGTGTAGGGCTGGAGATTACCTAAATAAATAGGTGGCAGTCCCAACTTTTGCTGTTTTTTTTTTTTTTCTTTTTTGGCATTTGCAGCTGAGAATGTTAGGCAGGAGGTGTGTGTGCAGGCGCAGGGGCGGAGATCTTGACTTCACTCGAAACCAGAAATTGGGTTTATGTGAACGATGTGTCACCCGCTCCCTCCTCCCTTTTCTTTCTGAAGATTATTTTAAATCGTTCTCCTTTCAGGCCCCCCACCCCGGTAGATGGGGACGGGGTGACATCCCACGGGTACTGGCTCTTCCCTGGGGGGGTCCTGTCGCGCTAGAGGAGGGGCGCAGGGACCCCACGTCAGACCAGTCGCTTTGTTTTCGAGGCTGGGGGCGAGCTTTGCGGGCAGGTAGGAATGAAGCCGAACCCCTCAGTCTCATAGGACAATTCATACTGTACTGGTCTGGGCTTTGGCCGGAGGCTTGGGCATTTCACTTTCGCAGAGGCCGAAACCCAGCTCCAGGTGTGGGCGCCCTCGGCGGGCGGGGTCCGAACCTCCGTGCGGCTCTAGGTGCCGACTGGATGGGGTGGGTGGCTAGGTGGGGGATGAACTTGCACCCCTAGAGGGATCCTGTGGGGGCAAGTGTGAATGCGTGTGTAAGCGAGGCAAAAAAAGATGAGAGAGAGAGGAGAATAAAGTCAAAGCTGTTTCCACAACTTTGGCCGTGGTGGGCAAGCGCCGGAGCGGGGATTTCGGGTTTCGGAGCTGGCTTGGGGCAGTCTGATTGTGCCGGGGCTCTGTAGGGACACGCAGGAGGCGAGGTGCCGCTTGTTCTGACAACCTGGCGGGTAGACTGGCAAAGGCAGCACGCCGGGAGAGCTAGTCGTGTCATCTGGGGGGGCGTCAGGCGGGAGTGGCCCAGCCAGTCGGACGGGTTTTTGCCGGGAGCCGCGAGCCGGTGCCAGCGGCGCCCGGGCTGGGCCGCCTAGCGTCTGTGCGCGCCCCGGCCCGCATCCCGGCTCCCGATCCGGAATCCCCGGCCCCAGAGAGCCGAGGGCAGAGCGACGGTGGCCGGGGAGCGCACGGTGCCCCTGTCCGAGGAAAGCTCAAGAGGAGGCCGAGGAGAGGACCAGTGCAGCGAGCGGGCCGGTCCCGGGCAGGGCGCCGGGTCATGGAGGAGCCGCGCAGCAGCGGGCAGCCGAGTCCCGAGTCCCAGACTCGGCTGCGAAGCGGCGGAGCCCGCGGCCAGACAGGGCCGGGAAGCGCCTGCCGCGCCGAGAGCCCCACGAGCGCCCGGACGCGGTCCCAAGCAGCTCCTACCCGCTACGCACGACCCCCGCTGCATCCCGAGGTCTGCCCCAGCCTTTTAGGTCTGATTGTCCTCGCTCGCTTCCTCTCCCCTTCCCCCTCCCCCGCGGCCTCCCCCTCCGTGCGCTCCGGCTGGGCCCCCTCCCCCTCCCTCCCTCCCTTCCTCCCTCCCTCTTTCCCTCCCTTCCTCCTCTCGGGCTCTCCCTCCTTCCCTCCCTCCCCTCTCCCCACCCGGGGCTCCTCTCCCTCGCCCACACTTTCTTTCTCACACACGCACGCAGACACATTCTCCCTCTCTGCGCTCTCTCCTTCGGTCTCCCTCTCTGCCTCTTTCTCTTTCACTTTTGCATGCCCTGCAACCTTTTAAAATGTTGCCCCTTCCCTGTGATTCGCCAGACGCCGCGCCGCGGCCCCCCGCGCGCTCGCCCGCTCCCTCTCTCGCTCGCTTTTTGTCTCTCGCGCTCCCTCTCCCCACTCCGATTTGCTACACTGAGACTCCCGTCAATGGACTGCATTGAGAGCCGGCTCCGGCGCGAGTTGCCTCTCCGCTTCACGCTCGATTTCCAGGCATTCTTCCCTTATTAAGTATTCGTGTAATATTAATAGTCATGAATATCTGCTATTAGGAGGCTCCAGGAACGCTGCCCAGCGCGGTTATTAGAAGCTCAAGCGAAGCCGCCGCTAAGAAAAGAGGGGGAGACACGGATTAAGGAACACGCACGCACCCACACACTCACACATACTTTTTCCTTTTTCCTTTTTTGGGGTTTTTCATTTTTAAAGAACTTTGAATCATAACCAGTCGCGGCAGGATAGAGACCGTGGGTTCGACCAGCTGAAGGCGCCGCGCGAATCGGTGGTTCAAGTTCGGATGGATCCGAGCCGGGCTCCCGCGCTCCGGGGAGCGTCGGCGCCGTGACTGGAGTCCTGGGTGGCGCGGGGCTCTCGGCGCCTTTTGTGTGGGGCGCGCTCGGGCGGCGGGGCAGCCGGGCGCTCCAGGCTTGCTTGTTTTTTTCCACCCTGACTCGTTACCCCAGACTCTTCGCAGATGTTAGTTCACAGTTTTTCAGCCATGGTGAGTCCCATCCCCACCCCCGTTGCTGTTTCTTTAGGAATTGGATTCTGGAAACCTGGTGCCGTGGAGCTGCCCGAAACCTCGGGTTTCACGCCCAGCTTTCCTTCAGGACACCCTCTCCATTTGCATCCCCCACCCCACCTTCCGCCTTTCTCTCGCTCTTTTCCATCCCTAAATCGAGTGCATTACCCCCTACCCCAGCCCCCGCTCGACCTCTCCGAGCACGCAGACCTACCTCGCCGCGGCTTCCCAAGGCGTGTTTCTCCCCACGTTCATCTTGATTTCCTTGAGTCTTCACTTGTCCCCGAGATGTTCTCAACATTTGATGCTTAAACTGTCTGCAGGAAAAGTGCAGCGCGGTGTGCCCCCTACCCTCGGGACCTGCGGCCGAACCGCCGAGGGTTCGCGGTCTCTGGAATCAACTCTCTTCGCTTGTTTTGCAAGGGAATTGCAATAGAGAAACCTAAAGTCAGGCGTTTCTTCTGCCCTTTGGGGCTGGGGTGGAAGGGGCGGGGGGGGGGGGCCACAGCCCCGGGGTGCACCTCTCTCTTTTAAACCCAATAAGGCTGAATCTTTCTATTTTAAACCTTGACTTGACGTCCCCCTTTCCCTATCCAAACCATAAATCGACTCTGTCGAGAAAAAGGCTCCTAACAGAGGAAGCGAAAAAGACAGACCCCGATCCTGCAGTTAAAACCTTCTTTAAGCTGGTAATTTAAACGTGTGTTTTTGTTACAGCCCCTCTGCGAAATATGTTTCTATTTAAGTAGTCATGAAACGGTAACAGTCTTTGAACGTTTATGATTTTTTTCTCTCCAAATAAATGGAAGAGAATAAACAATAACGCAGTGGCAGACAGGTTCAAATCGGGGGAAAAGAAAAGGCCGCTTCTGCTGTTTAGTATTTAGGAGGAATTTTAATTTTGCTTAAGAGAGATTTCACGCTGCAGTTTAATGGGCTGTGTTCCAGGAGACCCTTTTCTATCTTTTCCTCTCTTTGAAAGAAACCCCTAAATAGTCTCTTGTGCCCCCTCCATATACAGTTTCTCTGCGTTGTTCGGTCTGTTTCACTTGAGGGTATTTCCTGAAAAGAACTTAGAGCTGATTTTTTCCCGGCGGCCAGCCAACGGGAACGGGCGATTTCCCACGCAGACTTGTCAAGTGGATTTTGTGTGGATAGTTGTAGCTCGACGCCTGATTCCTTGTTCTTTACCTTTCCTCTCGCTCTCTTCTAGGACCGTCACGACGGCACCAGCAACGGGACGGCACGGTTGCCCCAGCTGGGCACTGTAGGTCAATCTCCCTACACGAGCGCCCCGCCGCTGTCCCACACCCCCAATGCCGACTTCCAGCCCCCATACTTCCCCCCACCCTACCAGCCTATCTACCCCCAGTCGCAAGATCCTTACTCCCACGTCAACGACCCCTACAGCCTGAACCCCCTGCACGCCCAGCCGCAGCCGCAGCACCCAGGCTGGCCCGGCCAGAGGCAGAGCCAGGAGTCTGGGCTCCTGCACACGCACCGGGGGCTGCCTCACCAGCTGTCGGGCCTGGATCCTCGCAGGGACTACAGGCGGCACGAGGACCTCCTGCACGGCCCACACGCGCTCAGCTCAGGACTCGGAGACCTCTCGATCCACTCCTTACCTCACGCCATCGAGGAGGTCCCGGTAAGAGGCCGCGCAACCAGCGCGGGAGGGAACACAGCCCCCTACTTACCTACCCCAGAAAGGATACCTGGAACATACAGTCGGTGGGCCCGGGTTCTCCCTAGTATTTCCTTATAAAAACATTTTATTCGGAGGCGGAGAGTGAGGGACGTTTTGAGGAACCACACAAAGTAGTTGCGAGTTCTACCCCAGAACAATGGTTTCTGGAGCTCCCTCAAACAATGCCTGCATTACCATTTCCACCAACACAGATAAATCAGACGAATGTCACCATTAACAATATCTTCCTCTCGACGACAGTAAACTGTCTCAATTGCTAAAAGATCTACTTCCATCGCTGAGTCTGGCGTGGAGATTTCTCCCTGTCCTGGGAATGATGTTAAATGCAACCAAAAGAGCTCATTAAATGTCCTCAAAATGTAAAAGGAAGTGTAAAAGACACACTAAGATCATTTTAACCGGATTTTATAAGCACAAGTGAAACCTAAAAGTTATGTGTACACCCTATCCTGATTAAAGAAAAACTAAGTAGCAAATCCAAGCAGAGGGACATTAAAATGCAGCCTTCTTCTTACTAGGGGTGCTAAGTGGTGACCTCATAAATCATTAGCTAGGTTCCCAACGCCTATCAGAACCTGCTACACTCCATATTAAATTAAATGTTTCGAGACTATTGGGTAATACATTATTTGAGTTCTAATTTAGTTATCAATAAATGCAGTTTAAAATGATTTCTAAATAAGCATGGCATTAGCACATTTACTATTTACAATGCAAACCAGGCTATTGATAATTTGAAAATACTTTCTGGAATTAAACTTAAACCAGTACCTCTGCTTCAATTCTATATATTTATGGTTTCCTCACAACCCTCCTGAAATGGAATTAGAGCAAGCCAATAATTTTATTAAAGCTGTAAAGGCTTCTGTTAAAGCTGCTTTTCTTTGGAGAGGAAATGTATCTGGATGTGATTTTTACTAAAATGCTATTTCAAATTACTGCATCAAATATTGCAGCAGTATGTCCGTTGACAGTTTAATGATTACTACATTAGATTGTAAGGAAAATGGTCAGATGAACTTACCTCCTTGCTTGGTGAATTTAAAACATTATTTAAGTTCCGTAGGAAAATAGAAAATTTATTACATCTCTCATTTGGCCCAGTTAGTCACTGAAATTTGTTGGTTATGTTTAGCAGCCCTTGCATGGAAGGCAGGAAAGTGGGCACTTGATCCAGTATAAGGTTTAGTGAGCACTGTATGTCTGTATATGTGTGTTCATACTTACATGTTTTTAGAAACTGATACTTAACAGTGCATTTTTTTGGAAGTGAGAGGAGCACTAATTTATATAAGAGCAATTTAAACATGAACTGGGAGTTATGATTATTTTAGTTCCCTTTCCCAAAGCACTCTGAATCTTTTCCTTGCTTGTTCTTTGAAAATATTTGAATTGCAAAATAATGTTGCAAGCTTTTGGAACTACTGTGAATGAGAATTGCTCTACTTTGCAAAAATTTCAAGGTGAATTCTTAACACCTGTATACTCACTCTTTGTGGCAAAATTGGTCAGTAGGAGAAACTAACTAAAAGATTAAACAAAAACAAGGAAACCCAGTTGCTGTTTTTCCCTCTCCCTCCCCCATCTTTTAAGAAAAAAATTCTTTCAAAGGAATTTGGGTCAAGAAAAAGGTTGTTTTCAATTTTTTCCCATTGCTGCAACAGTTAACCTTTAGTAAGTATAACTGCTAAATATTTAAGAAAATCAAATCGATGGTGAAAATTATTTAATCATTAATATCTCAGTGGGGTTTTAAACTTAACAGTCTTCCCTGTATGGACAAGGTCTAGAAATAACACAAATAAAAGTATTATGCCACACTACATTTACTTTATGGGTTTAGGGTGCATGCATAAAGGGATCATATTTCCCCATATAGTTAAAACACAAGAACTGCAGCAGTAGTCATTTCTGAACATTTCTCAATTTAATTATACTTAAATCCAGAAGCACTTTAGGCAAGTTACAAATGAGAGCATTGAGTATAATAAAACCTGTAATAAAGCAACTTAGTACCATCCACCCGGAATCATTGCGATCAGGCACAATTAACAGGAGCATAAATCCAAGACAGAATGGAAAATGTTCGAATCAGTATTATTGTTGGACAAAGACTAGAGAAGGAAGCAATAGTTTTTTAAATGGTAATGCCTGTGTTTGGTAATGATTGCAAAATCTTCTATCTCAGCAGCCCTGGTGCTAATTTGTAAACACAGCCAGACATTATATTGCCTGTCAGTTTCTGCATTAGAAAACATGACTTCATTTTACTTTCTAATCACGTTTTGACTCTAGTGCGCACACGTATACCCATCCATCTGTAAAAAAAAAAAAAAAAAAGAAAAGAAAAAGAAAAACACCCCACACTAACAACAAACCTGCTGTTGGACAACAGGAAAGCAAGCTCAAAGGTTTTTTGGTTTTGGTCATTTTCATATTCCTATCATACCCAGGCTTAGGCAGTAGTCTTTCTAAAAATTTATGTGGAGTTTTCCATAAAGGTGTGTGTGTTTGCTCTTTATTATACTACCTAAACCTTTTCTTTTCCAACACTCTCCTGTTACTCCCGCCCCTGTCATTTCTATTGTGTTTCCCTGGCTTTCGCTGCCTGAACACTGGAATTGCTAAAGTCAGAAGCCGCTGAGGCGCCAATCTAAAGCTAGGTACATTTCTAAATGTTGAACTGACTGAGAATGATTAGGTGCTCCAACACTTGATTTAATTTCCAAAGAAAGTTTTATTCCCCATCTCCACCCCTTTTAAACATGGATTATTTGCTGGAGGAGGAGAAATTGGCCATGGGTGTGCAGTGAAACCTCTTGAGTTGCAAAGCCCCAAATTCCAATAAGCCAAGATGAGATGTTTATATATAAATGTCATTATACGGGAGGGGGAATTTTGATTCTACACCTTCCCCTCCTCCCATCTTGCAGGGAATATTCATTTCCTTTTGTTTTGATGATACACTTACATCCATGTGTATCCTTTTGTTGCAGCATGTAGAAGACCCGGGTATTAACATCCCAGATCAAACTGTAATTAAGAAAGGTAAGCCATTTCCTTCTGCATTCCAAGCATGTCCTTACAGGCAGAGTGCTATTTAAAAGAACTTGCAGAGATGTGTTTATTTTTTCCAAATAGGATTTCCTAAAGGCTCAGAATTAGCAAATAGATAGGCACAGAACAGCAATGCTTAAATAATCAGCCTTCAGTATGTTGGTAATGCCAACAGGCTAGCTTTGTTCTGACTCATGATTTGACCATTTAATTTAGTTTAATGATATTTGGACAAACACACAAAATGTACAGTAGTTGAACTGATTTGGAAGTGGCATTTCAATTTTGAAACAGTTTGATAGTTTAATCCATTGCCTGGATGAAGGTTAAGAAGTGTATAATGCTAAAATAGTACAAATAATTTAACATTAATGTAAGAACAGATGATAAGAAGCACTCTTTAGTAGAGGAAAAAAACATTCATGTTCTTCAATTTAGTTTCTTGTTAGCTGTTTAAGGGTCTTAGAACTTTGTGAATTAGGTTAACAAAATTTTAGCTTTTGGTTAAAATTAGTATCTTGAAGATGGGAGGAATATTAGCATACTTGTTCAGAGGAGAAATTGTTAGAAAAGTGTCAAGTGATTTGCATGGATTTGTAATCTGTATTGTGTTTAGTGAGTAGAAATAAAGTTTACTGAATTAAATGCTATTCACTCTTGGTAGCAGCTTTTTTTTTGGTTATGGTGGCAATGTTACATTTCAGGATTCTAGGCACCACCAGAGGACGATGCTATATAAAACTGTTCTCATTTCTAACCCCAATCAGTATATTGTTAGCTAGTTTAAAGTTTCATTTTTGCATCTGTGAAGTCTTTGTCACGTCAAATTAGATGTGCAAGGGATAAATCTTAAGAGATGCTCTTTCCAAGTCGACATGATAATTGGCTCTTTTATTAGTAATCTCTCAAGAGTTCGTTTAACTCCTATTGTCTCTATTAGCCTCCCCAGAGCTATTAATGTCACAAGTGATCTATCCAAAACCTAGAGCCCCCCACCTCCCTATACCTCTAGCATATCCCCATTAAAGAACGCATAAGGAACACTGTGATGAGATTGTGTGCATATGATGTCTCCAAATGGAATTTTAAAATACAATGCATACTGTACTTAAATGGTTGTGAATGCATCTGAATTACACTGGTGCTGAGAAACGTAATGCATTAGTATACTTTCTGCAGGTCTTCTATTTTTTTTTTTTCTAACAGTGGTGAGTCCAGCAATAAAGAGCTTATGGTTTTAACTAGGAAGTATATATACCCACTTTCCCAATAAAGGCGCTTTAGCAGAGGACTGTTAAGTATTTACTTAACAAAAGGGCACATTGCTAGTATTCCACTGTAGGCCTGTTCTTCCCTCCCCACTCCGCAGTTCAAAACTGGCCTTGGAATGGATCTCCAAAACTGAGACGTTTTCAAAATTGAACATAGGAAAGGGCCTATTTATCAAAAAGACGGGACGTGTGGTGTGGACAACAAAATCCACCACTTCCCAGCGTGGTGCCTCAATTAAAACGCTCGTTTACAGGGTGCTTTAGCCATCTAAATTGTCGGCTGATTTTAATAATGGGTCTTTGAAGCAGTTTTTCCCCGACACTAAAACCCCACCCAGCAAAACCCCTGAAGTACAAGTAACTTGCTCTCGGTTTGCAAATGTAATTCCCTCCCCTGCACCCTGAACCCGTGGTCCTGGACCTCATCTGGGGCCCACTCCGCTCGGATGCTCAGCGCCTCAGGGGTCACCAATTTCACCACCCATCTCTAGAGAGCACCCTTGACGGCGAAGGGGAAAGGGTCAAGGCAGAAACGCAGGCCAGGCTGGCTGGGGGAGGGCAGGGCCGCCTCCCGGCCGCCGGGTGAGGTAGGGAAGGGCTCGAGCCCGAGGAAGGGAAGTAGCAGAGCCACAGAATTTCAGAGCCGGACGGAAAAGCGGGGACTGTGGCCCAAAGCCTGGGATCCGGCCCTGGCCGGGATGAGGGCCGGGGTCGGGCAGGATTTGGGGGTGATCCACGACGCCCAACACGCGGCCTCCCCTCTGTCTCCGCAGGCCCCGTGTCCCTGTCCAAGTCCAACAGCAATGCCGTCTCCGCCATCCCTATTAACAAGGACAACCTCTTCGGCGGCGTGGTGAACCCCAACGAAGTCTTCTGTTCAGTTCCGGGTCGCCTCTCGCTCCTCAGCTCCACCTCGAAGTACAAGGTCACGGTGGCGGAAGTGCAGCGGCGGCTCTCACCACCCGAGTGTCTCAACGCGTCGCTGCTGGGCGGAGTGCTCCGGAGGTGAGGCCCGGCACGGCCCCGCCCGCCCCGCCCCGCGGCCGGGGGAACCACTGCGCTTGCGCCGGGGCGGTGGCGGCGACGCAAACAGGCCTCGCGCCGCGGCCCTCCCTACGCGGGAAAGGAAAGGGGGCGGGGAGAAGAGCGTAGAGCCAAGTGGGCGGGATCTGGGGGCGGGGGAGCGGGCGATGCGGCGCGCGCCTGCGCTCTCCGCTGCTTTCCCGCGAGCGAGTTCTGGTGCGCGCTTCGTTCGCTGCCGCGCGCTCGCGGAGTCCTCCGCTCCGCCCTCCTCCTCGCGCAAGCGCAGCTCGCTCCGCCGCGGGCTCAATCCCGGCCACTGCAGCCGCGGGGCGCCGTACAGCCACCTTTTCCCTCTTCGCGCACACCTTGCAAGCCCAGGAAAAGTTCCTCTCAGGCTCCTCGCTTTGCCTTACCTCTCTGAGTAGGGTCTCCGAGGGTAACCGGTCGTGCCTTGTATAGGGTTTTAATAGAATGGCTTTTAACTAAAGGAAGAGAATGGTTGTCCTCTTGAGTCCGCACGCCATGCTTTCCGGTCGCTGTCATCTCCAGACCCCCATACTATAGGCGTTTGCATATGATGATGATTCCCAATTTACTGAGGCCCTGATGTGTGCCAGGCTGCGTGCGAGCATGTTTACGTGCATTGTGTGTAGTCACTACCAAGGAATGCATCTGTTACATACATAGCCAGGGATTCTTACCTCACCCCTGCGAGGTTTGAGTGATTCATTTAGTAGATAAGATTTTATAAGGGTCAGCAAGGTAAAGCACCTTCCCTTAGGGCAGTTTTCTCCCTGCTGTGGGCTTCCTACCCCTAGGATTCCACTGCACGTTGTGAGTTGTGGGGCTTGTGTTGAACTTACCCGGATAATGTTTCTTCTCTTCTTTAATAATACTGAGAACTTCATTGTTTTGACTGTTATTCATTTACTTATGTGTTGATAGACCCACAGTTCCTTTCTAGTGGCTATATCCCGCACAAAGCCTATAAAGATCATTTTTTGGAAGGGTTTAACATCAACCATTCTAGTCTTTTCTTCCTCCTGCACAGTCATTTTGCTTTCCCTTTGTAGTCTTTCACTGACACAGATCTTTTCCTTGCCCTCTGCTTTTTCCTTCCCTTCCCCCATCCCCAATATTGGAGACTGTTTACCTAGGGGAGTATAATCTAATCCACACAATTAAAGAGCACTTGAGTAGGGAATAAAATCTGAAATTAATTAATTTGCTGTTTTATTTAAACAATTTATCTTAACCACTTTCTGATTATGGGATTCTATTTAGACATCTGTTTAGAACTGCCTCCATTGTCTCTGAAATCAGTGAAACTTTTAGGGCTGATATCAGCTTTTGACATTTCCAGTTAGGCTGGTGACATGGCACGTAAACAGTTGGCGAAACGAATTTCCCTTTGGGGCTAGAGCCAGAGCAAGAAACGTGAGAGTGATGATAACTTTGGTTACTCGGAACAACCTAACAGCATATCTTGCAAAGACAGTTTTAAAGACCCCATTGGGATTGGTGTGATTGTAACAGCAGAGAAAATATACAGGAATCAGTTGAACTCAATACCTCAAACCCTAGAGATGGGGCTGTGTTTGTTTGTGGTTCTTCTTTAGAGAGTTGGGAAATCAAAACCTTCCAACCTGCCACAAGAGTTGCAATAATAACTGAACGTAGGGGGTGCTTTACAGTTTAACAGGCGTTTATCTCCTATGAACTTCTGTACTATTCCTAGGTTTCCCTCCTTTAAATGTCTTGGGGCCAAGCTTCTCAGTTTTTGAAAGCACATTTTAGGAAGCTTTCAAAATGATTTTAATGTGGTGCAGAGCAACCCAATGTTTTCTAAATCCCTTTCTCGCATATATTTGTGAAACAGGGCGAAGTCTAAAAATGGAGGAAGATCTTTAAGAGAAAAACTGGACAAAATAGGATTAAATCTGCCTGCAGGGAGACGTAAAGCTGCCAACGTTACCCTGCTCACATCACTAGTAGAGGGTAAGCGAATCCACTTGCTAACTAGAAGGAACTTCCTTCTTGGAAAATGGATAATATTTAGTGGCCAGATGTTTGGTCGTATTTTATGTCAGTTGGGCAGTTTCATCTTTGCAGAGAATATAGCCAGATGTGAATGGAATTATTTCATGGCAAAAAGAAACATTTGCATGTACTCCTATACCTCCATCCTTCTTCCTTCTTTTCCTCTACCATAAAGTTACACCTCCCCAGCCTAATTCTGAGCTAAACAACGCACAAGTTTAAGAACTGCACATTCTCCAAGTTTGTCTCCTTTAAAGGGCTCAGCAGTAAATAACTTAAGTTATTCTGACATCTGCGTTTGAGAAATGCGTGACCATTACTTCCTGAATTAATTTGGGAATCTTTGACCTGCGTCCTGATTTAAGACCATCCTGAAAGCTCAGGGTTATGTGCCCTTTCAGGTCTTTGTTTTCCAAACATATGCTCCCTTATCTCTTTAATTGTGCTTTTCTCTTGGAGAAGAAGAAAAGTGAGCAATTTTTGATTCTGGATGATGTGGATATGGAAAGATAAATATAAGCATTGCAAAAAGTTTCTCCTGGTAGCTTTAAACATACATACACCCTTCCAAATGCCTCAAAACAAAAAGCCAACCCTTATCCTCACTCCCTGCTCTAGATAACTGCCACCGGAAGCCACTCATATTCCTGCTGCCTCTAGATTAAGTTTTTCTGATACAAGATTGGCCTAGGTTTTGGTGTACTGGAATGAATCTATAGCTCTCCTGTGTTTTTCTTTGTGTCCTATTGTAAATATCTCATGCTAACAGGGAAAAAAAAGTTACTTTAATTACCAGACAGATTTTAAAACTAGCATGTATATATATTTAAAGAAGTCATTTTATTTCATTCACATCTTGTATTTGAGGAGATATATTACAATTGAATTTAAGTTCTGGCTTTGTAAATTATTTTTTAAAATGTTTAAAACCATATATTTGAGGAGGAATCCTATGAATTCTCTTTGTTGATGATGTCAGAGATTGATAGTAATATAACTGTTTAGAAAATCAGCAATTGTTCAGTGCCAGAAACTCAACTACAGTACCATTACATTAAAAATCATAACAGTCCATAGAGAACCCACTATTCATACTCCAAAAGAATTATAAGCCAAGAAAATGGTAGTGGTGGCTTAAGGTATAGCGTGGAGTTCGTCTGGGTTTGGGGGTTGAGTTCTGTAGCAGGGAGGCAGTTTCTGGAGAACTGTTATTGTTTGTGATCCGCTCCATTTTATGGAAACAAGCTCTGCGGAGAGGGCTTTGATGCTCTAATTGGCGCATGCGTTCTTCCGGAGCTGGAGCTAATGGCAGGAAGCCCTGCAGTAAAAACCAACTGGTTCAGGAAATTAAAACCAAAGATTCGAAAATCAACAACACAGACAGACTCAGTGGAGTGACCCTCAAATCCTCTTGGTTAATCGGTTTGGATGAACAGATAATTTATGTGATCAAGTTAAAATGTAACCCCTCAGTTGTTCCCTTGCAGAAAAGCTCAAAGAGTAATTATGAATATCATTTATGAATGTGTTGATAGGTGTGAAGTTGGAATACAAGAAGCATTTTAAAAGAGAATTTGGAGAAGTGTCATTTAGGGTGGGGGATGGGACTGGAGGTTGGTGGATGAGATTTTCATTTTCAAGTCTTCTTGGCCCTCTAGGAGAAGTGGTCATTTTTCCTGATAAATGCATCCACCAGATCCTACAGAGAAGGAAATAAAATGCCTGAAATGAGAAAACAAGTAGTTTGTGTTTCCTGCAACATCTGGGGTGAAGGGAATTAGGGAGTTGGGAGTGGGGAGGAAGTTAGGATCCCCACTCTTCATTCTCTCGCACTGGCTCCCTCCTCTCCCCTCTTGCCAGGAGAAGCTGTCCACCTAGCCAGGGACTTTGGGTACGTGTGCGAAACCGAATTTCCTGCCAAAGCAGTAGCTGAATTTCTCAACCGACAACATTCCGATCCCAATGAGCAAGTGACAAGAAAAAACATGCTCCTGGCTACAAAGTAAGGCATTTACCTCTATGGGGTCTCTGTGTCTCGTTGTCAAGAGAAAGAGAAACAAAAATCGTTTTTGCTCTTCCTTCTCCCTTGTTTTCCTTTTGTGTTAATCAGCTTTGTTGCAGTTATAACACCATCTTATATATAGTCTATGTTAAGGAAGAAATACAGGTGGGATTCTTGGGCGCTCCCATCTTTTTCCTCTCATCTGTCCCATTTACTCATTTTTTTTTTTTTTTAATGAGTGTGTATGGGAGTGGGTTGTAGGAGGGGTTTGACTGAAGTTAAGGGTGGATTTGTGACTATGTTGTTTCAGAAAGACCAGAATCAAATCCTCAAAGGGGTAACAGGCTTACCTATATCAGTTTTTGTATCCTATCAATATGTTCTCCAAGGGCAAAGATTAAACAGTGGCCTGCAAAATGTGCAAGCCAGAAGCTGTCCTAGTTTCAACCCTAATCTGTTATTCCATTTCTTACCTTCCTTTCACAACCCCTTCTCGAAAGTGACACACACACACACACACACAGACAGAGAGAGAGAGAGAGAGAGAGAGACCCACACCCCACATAAGTTTTAGCCCACAGGCGAGAAGTCAAATAGATTTCAAAATGGCCCAAGTTATATTCCCATCGGTGCCTGGGCTGAATAGGCTTCTCCAGGTGATGTGTGAAAAGAAAATGACTGTTTTGATGTGTTTTCTGGAAATTAAAAGGCTTGTTTGGAAGCCCTTAATTATCAAAGTTGATGTCACAGGAGGGCATGGAAGCAGAGGGCAGAAGCTGAGGCCTTGGGTGGGACCCTGTTTCTGGCCTGGGGACATCAGCTGGCCTTGGAGAAGGGAGCCAGCCCAGGCTCCTCATTCATCCCCCTCCCCAGCCCCCCAGGCCAGGCTGCTGCTGCCCCTGGAAGGCCCCAGCTAGCCCTTGCTTCCCAGATTCAGAGACAGAGCTTCCTGAGTGCAGGCCTCATCTACCTCTGCGAAATTTCAACTTTCTCTTTCCCCAGGCTTCGTAAGCACACCCATCTCCACAATTTCCCTGCAGTATTTTTATTTTGAGCTATGTGGGGAAAGAGGAGGAATGGGAAATCGAAATGTCTGTTTCTTCTTCCCAAACACTACTTTGAATTATCTCCAAGTAACAGGGCTTGTGTGGGCCCGTTTTGTTTTTTTGTTATTCTTGTTTTTTAAAGGCAAAATAATCCCAAGTAAAGTTTTGTCTCTCTGTCCACATTGACCTGAATTTGATTTGAAGGTGAACGAGTGTGGACTTCATTCTACAAACTGCTGCTGAGGTCTCTCTAGAGGAGCAGGGAAGAGGGTCTTTATGACATTTTGAATAGGAAGGCTGATGGCTGCAGCATAATGTTCGCAAGATGCTACTGTTTCTGACTTCCGGTCTGCGTGACTCCTTTCTTTCTCTTCCAATGTGTGAAATGGTTTCCTATGTCTAGGATGTTTTGTGTGAGGGAGAAAGGTGGGAATAAAAGTTTACCATATCTGAGAGGAAAGAGAGAGAGAGTCATTTGTGAAGGTAGGAAGTAAAGAGAGATGGTTTAGTGGTCACTGAAAGGTGGCTGGATCTCCCAACATGTGGCCACACTGTCTGTCTCTGGGGTCTTGGGTCATGTCAGGTACCGGCTGGATCCCGGCAGAGGTAGCTGCAGGGAGGGAGGTTTTCTCTTTGCTGCTAGTGCTGCCCATAGTGGAGCCTTATGTCTCTCTCTCTGCTCCACTTGTGCTGCAGACAGATATGCAAAGAGTTCACCGACCTGCTGGCTCAGGACCGATCTCCCCTGGGGAACTCACGGCCCAACCCCATCCTGGAGCCCGGCATCCAGAGCTGCTTGACCCACTTCAACCTCATCTCCCACGGCTTCGGCAGCCCCGCGGTGTGTGCCGCGGTCACGGCCCTGCAGAACTATCTCACCGAGGCCCTCAAGGCCATGGACAAAATGTACCTCAGCAACAACCCCAACAGCCACACGGACAACAACGCCAAAAGCAGTGACAAAGAGGAGAAGCACAGAAAGTGAGGCTCTCCTCCCGCCCCGCCCCTCCCACGCCTCACCAGCCCCCCGCGCGCCCACCCTCCGGCGGGTGACAGCTCCGGGATCAGCAACCCTTCCTGCTGCTGCTACTGCTGCTGCTGCTGCCGCCGCCGCCGCCGCCGCTGCCCTTGGGTCCCCCCGAGTCTCCGGGACTGCCCTCTCGACTGTCAGTGGGGCAGCCTCTCCGACTCTGCACCCGCCTCGACCTCCCCACCCGCTCCCACACCCCTGTGCCCTCATGTGGAGCCTAAGAGAACAGAACAGGCCGTGAAGCCAGCAGAGAAAAGTTCTGCCAAGTTTGTGAACCCTTTTTTTTTTAAACAAAACAACAAATCAACAACAGCAACAACAACAACAAAAATTAAAAACTTTTTTCTAAAAAAAAAGTGAAAATAAAAAAAATTATATGCGCTTCATGGGACTGAGTCACCACCTTCCCTTACATACTTCAGTTCAGATTGTAGCCATACTTAAAAAAAAAAAAAAAGCCAAAAGATGATGACAACATTTTTATCAGTATTGTGAATAAACTTGAACACAAATACACGAAGTTCCATGTCATGTCTTCAGTTGTAGAAGTTTTTCCTCTTTAAGGTAAAGCGACCAACTTGAACTTTCTCTGGCAACACGATTCGCAGTTATATAAGGGAATCAGTGTTCACGTCTCTGTATATATTTATTTATGTGTAATTTAATGGGAATTGTAAATATGGTGAGTCTGTTTTAAGCCTTTTTTTTTTTATTTATCTGATCTTGTTTACCTCTTGTTTAGTGGGTTTTGAATCTTCCCTATTAGTTCTTCATGTGGTTCATGGTACTGATTTAGAAATCCAGTGTTTGGGGGATTTTTTTCTCTGGGATTCATGAATTTAGCCCTGTTGTAGCATGTTAAAGGTGACAAACAGCTGGACAAATTTTTAAAAAGTAAAATAAAATTTTATCTATAATTAGTATTATTACATTTAGCTTTTCATTGAACCGAAAGAAAAAAAGTGATATTGGACCCTGGAAAGATTTTGAAACTTGAGTGGTTTGATAACCCTTCTATGTATTGTAGGGAGAAAAAAAAAAGTTTATTTTATTCCACTGTCCTCCCTTAAAAGCATCATTTGAGCAATAAATGAATATTGTCTTTAAACCAAGGGTTAGGGAATTTTCCTCTCTCTCTCTCTCTCCTCTCTCTTTCTGTTCAAAGAACTTCAAACATTTGGGACCACCTGGTATTCTGTATTTTCACTGGCCATATTGGAAGCAGTTCTAGTTGCATTGTATTGAGTTGTGCTGGCAGTAGTTTCCATGCCTGTCAATGTATCATAGTCCTTTGTTGCCCAGATAAATAAATATTTGATACGCTTTATGTCGATTTTTTTTTATTCAGTGGCTGTCTTTACCCAGGCGTATTTTTGTTCTTGGCAGTATTTTTTATTCAGTATGGTTACAGTAATTGAGTTTAACTCTCCCTTGGCAATTGCTCCTTGCAATAAGCAGCTGAACCCATTGTTTCCCTCAAGTATAATAAAAACTTACTTTCAACTTGGAGTTCAGAGCAGGGTATCATTTAGATATTCCACTGTGTCTGTATTCAGACAAATGACACAATAAAACCCAATGTATTCTTTTGGATAAAAGATTGTTTGTACTGCTAAAGGAATGACATACTGTCTTTTCCTTACTAGAAACATTAATTTTATTATTAAAAATAAAGTTTTATTTTATTTATGTTGATCCTTTAGGTTTTCATTTGTGTTTTGGAAACCAAAATATAAAATCTCCAGGACCAAATGTTAAGGATGACAAGGAAGATGGAGAAGAACAGAAGAAACTTCCCACCAGCAGGCCCCCCGCCTAACAGCCCCCCCCCCCGCCCCCCATAACTGCTTTGGAATTTGTCTCAGAGGATAACTGAGATTTAAATTGTTAGTTCATTAGCACAAAGGAAATACCGACTTCAACCTTCACTTGCTTGCTCAGGGTAGTCAGCGGCTAAGACGGGCAAATGAGCTCAGACCAGCTCTAGATTTCTGGCGGGAGAAAAGGAATAGTGGCAGAAATATACATGTAGCAGGGAAAGAGAGGGCAAATTGTCTCCCATTTATTTTCATATTTTATTTAGAGATGAATTTACTACTGTGCTGTTCTTCAGTAGCTCTCGAGGTAGAGAGGGGAGTGGGAAATGATGTTGATCCCTGGAATCTTTCCTGCTTGCCCCTAAATGCCAGCCCACCCCTTCCTATCACCACAGGGCTCCTCTTAGAACCTTTTAGAAATACAAAACGTTCTCTGAGGTGGGGTGGGGAGGATGGGGGAGGGCTGTGAAGCCTGCCTCTCCAGACCTCTCCTATCTGTCTTCTACAATAAGAGGACTGTGTGCTGAGCTCTGAGAGAAGGAAGGACTTCCTGTGCATAAAGATGGCGAATCCAGAGCTTTTGTAAACTGATTTGGAAATTCTTTGCTTTGGAAGTGAAGAGGATTTTTAACAAGCAAAAGGAGGTGGTTAACTGGAAGGTTGAGAGGAAAGGCCACAGAACAAGTGTCTAGGTAGACAGACTGGTAGGATTTCACATTTGTTCCTGCGCTCTGACATTCCGAAGGACCAAGGAAGCAAAGCATTAGAGAGTGTCCATTTTGCAGCCTTTTGCTTTCTAATCTCCTTATGGAAGGCAGTGTAAAATCAATCTCGACAAACGAACGCGAGTTGGTGGAGTCTGAATTCTATTTTCCGAAGCCAGAGAATTCATAACAATGGTGGGTTTAAAAAAGAATTCAAATGGAAAGTGTATTCTCAGAACGCAACGCGGCAATTGTTTTTTAAAGCGGTTATTTATTATTTCCTAGAGAGACTGGTTAACTGTAACGTAGATGTAACAAAATAATGAGGCGAATGAACCCTAACTGTACATACTCTTGACAGAAATGAAATGCACACAGCATTGTAGCAGGTGAAGTGAAGCATTGTCTATCAGGGCTGTTTTTCTTGGCTGCATCTCAGATTGTGTGGGGGATCCTAACCTCAGGCACAATAGCATTCATAAACAGCCATACATTGCTGCTCTGCCTCCAATGACACATAAATACTCATTTTAAAACGAAAACAATCTTATTAAATACCATTCATTCATATCTGGATTTACAGATGCTTGTTATGTTGGAAAACCTGAACCCAATATAATCCTTGCATCCTGAGAAAGACAGAAAGGAAATAGTGGGTTAGAACATTACAAGGTCATAATAAACAATGGTTTCCAAATGCAGAGAATTAGTTATTTTTATTCGGTAGGTGGACATTTTGAAGATCATGATATTGTCACCCTTTTTTTTTTAAACAAAATTTTTAAAAAGTTACATATATTTTTAAGAAATGGGAGGATTAGAGAGGTTATATTAAAAATAACTTTTATTGGGCTAACCAAAGGCTCGGTGGATTTTGGCTTTCTCTGTGGTGACCAATGTATACTTTCTAAAACACATGGTGATTAGTTGACAGGACAGGTGTTTGTAAACTAACAACAGTGATTTTTTTTGACTAAACTAAATTAGGATACATAGTTGAATTATAAGGATGCTTGCCAGGCTATGCTAATTACCACACCCAATTTTTATGGAAACACAATGCTCCTTCGAGTTTGGTAGTCATCATTACCCCCTCTATTCTCTAACACCCTTTAAAAATTACAATCCCATCCATTCCTCCCCAAAATCGAATATTAATACAATTTGCGTTCTTGATGGAACTACCATCAGGACTGCAATGCCCCGCAGCTGAAATAATATTTAAAATAGAAGGGATTTGACATTTGAGAAGTCAGTGGCTTGAAATACCCAGTTGTACTTAGCTAATTCAGTCCTTAACCTCTGGTTTCAAATAAATCAATTACAGTCGATTCCACTTCAGTTCAGAAGTGCACAGGGTTTTAGTTAATTGAATACATTTTATTCACTTGCTAGGAATATTCATTTATCAAAATTCCAAATTTAATGTACATTTCTTTACAACTCAGGTTATGTTAGACTGCACAGTCAGATCAAATTTGCCCTGGTTTCCCCAAATCCTGCTTAACATATACATTTTACCACCCTCTGAAAGAGATGATGTCTCCCCATTCCTTTTGTCAGCCAAAAGTAAATTCACAATAATTCCATGTCAGGCAGGAGAGCTACTTTCTCCCACAAAGAAAAAAATCATCTGTGGTCATCAGCCTTGCGTTAAGTTTAAATAGGTTAAGAACAAAGCTGGATTAATTAAGTTTTTTAAAAGTATAGACTTGAAATAAAAAAAATTATGCATGGTTTCCATGAGAGCTTAACTTTGCTGCAGCTGACAGGTATGACAGCATTTTGTGGTCTTAAAGCCACAGGCTCCTTTTCTTAACCCTCTCTCTTCCTCTGCTTCCCCCTTTGGCTTTTGGAGAAGTACTTGAATAAATACCCAATTGTTAACTGAAAGCAGTACAGTTAAATGTGCCCAAATGAAGTTGTGCTTTAAACAGATATTGATGTATGCAGTGTTTTATATTTATTGTTTGTAGCATCCTGCTGGCAGCAGTTTACTGTTTGGAAAGGAAAGGGGTTAATTAGCGTCATTATCAATCACTAATGCTTGCCTAACGTGTCCAAAGAATAATCAAGTTAGAGGACGGCGTGAAGCCAACAGCTGCTTCATCCCAGTTACAGATCTCCTAAGCCACTCAGTTATAGGGTTGAGGGGTGGAGGGAAGTAGAGTGGGGAAGAATCCTCATTGCTTGGGTAAAAGGGCTGTAAAAATCGGGTCAACTCACAAGAGATCTGAGAGGCAGAAAGTACAAAATAAATAACCAGCGTTTTCACTGTCTACATTACAGGTGCAGAGATGGCAGCGGTTCTGAGGCAAGAGTACTGAAATTTGCTTTATAATTTACTTGATTATCCAAGTTGTGCATTTGAAGAAACACATCCATGTTTCCGTAGTGCTTAGTGCTATGGGTGAAAGAAATCTTAAAGTCAAGCAGAGAAGAAAAAAATAAAACCCACGCATACCTCAGAAAAGCCCAATTCAACTCCTAACATCACCCAACCACCCCATCCCAGAAGAATGAAACCATGGAGCACAACAGGTAATATCAGTTTTCACACCTCTGCATCCCCTTTTAGGATGCTCCGGGATATTTTTCCTTGTGAATTTCAGTGAACGATTCTTTTCTATATTAAACTTGGTTTACTACCTGAGTTGCACAGGTATGCCATCTCAGCTTCCTATTATTATTACTACTCCCCCTCCCCACCCCAACTGACGGAGCCTGGCTCTGTCACCTAGGCTGGAGTGCAGTGGTGCGATCTCGGCTCACTGCAACCTCTGCCTCCCGGGTTCAAGCAATTCTCCTGCCTCGGCCTCCTGAGTAGCTGGGATTACAGGCACACACCACTATGCCTGGCTACTTTTTGTATTCTTAGTAGAGATGGGTTTCACCATGTTGGCCAGGCTGGTCTGGAACTACTGACCTGGTGATCCACCCACCTCGGCCTCCCAAAGTGCTGGGATTACAGGCGTGAGCCACTGTGCCTGGCCTATTACTACTCTTAATGATACGGTCCTCCCTGTGACCCACCTTAGGTGGGAAACTGAAAAAGTTTGACCCTGTTATGGATTCCTTCTTTCAATGTCTTTAAAAACATTATTTGCCAGGTTAGCCATGAGTTCAAACTGATGATCCCATTAATGATCAGAATTTGGTCAACGGTTTTTCTGAAGGCAAGGATGAACTTGTCTGAGGTGAAGTATTTATTCATAGTGAGCCCTTGTTTGATTGAACAAGACATTGACTTCTTTCTGCAAAACCAGTAGCCCAAACTCATCTTTGCCTGTGTGGACACAGATGAGAAATATTCACAATCACATTATGCACCGAGTCTTACCCTCAAAGAAGTAACTGATGTTTCCCATGGAAGGCATGAGAGTGGAAAGAGAGAATGTTGGGATGGAAAACTAGATAATTCATGTATATGGAAAGTTCCTGTGTTTAAAAAAATAAGGAAAGGAGGAAAGAAAAGTGATTTCAGGCTGAATTTGGGAGGCCTAAAACGAAACTTTAAGTGTGATTCATGTGTAAAATTTTATTTCTTTTTCATCTTTGATGCCCGAAAAGGATAGCGCAGAACAAACTTCAGTTTTCACAGAGATGTTTCTTTCTTAACAAAAGAGCAACACTTAATATATTGCTGGAGAAGTGTGTAGAGAAGCAGTGGCCCAGGGAGATGACCTCCCCACATTAGACACTTGCAACAGATCGCCCTTTTTCTCTCTCTCACCAAAAAAAAAAAAAAAAAAGGGTCTCTAGGACTTTGAGGAAACTTCCTAGTCTTCCTTTGACTTTCCTTTAACGCCCATTTAAGGGGGCGGGAATATTTTCATCAGCAGGGCGGGAGCTTTAAAAAGTGACCCAACCCATGCTATGCTTTTGCTGCACGTGATTTTTCTATGGCAATAAAGATCGCGTCCTTTAAATTCCAGTAACAAACCTAAACACACGCCCTCAACTGAAGGTGGTCCACAGCCCCTGTATGAGCAATCGATCTTGGCGTGTCTATCATGACTCTCAAGTTTTACAAGTCAAAAAGCCCAGGCCTTCCGGGTTTTTGTTTTGTTTTTTTCTTTTTTGTTTTTGGACTGGGAACAAATCTCTCCAAACTCTCTCTAGAGTTGGTCTCATCACCGTTTTAAAATCCAGCTTATCCTCAGGATATGGATATACACACACTTGTGGGGTGTGTGTGTGTATGTGTGTGTTTGATCAAACTAAATTTAGCTAATATACCTTAAGATAATTTTTCCCCCTGGGGCACCGAGTTAACGCTAGGATCAAATTTCCTTTTGCTTTGTCAGCTACCATATCCTATTTCAGGATTCCCCCCTGTCTTTTTGGAGTCCCCAAGTCTGGGTTGCGCCTTTGTCCACAGCATGGAGTCAGTCCCCAGCGCCAGAGCTCAGCTCTGGTCTCCTGGACCCCTGCCTGGGAGGAGGCAGCGCGGTGCGCACCCCCTCACTGGGTCCCACCTGCCCCACCCAGGACCCCACCCGCTGGCAGGGCGCTGCCCTATTTGAATTCCCCGAAAATATCCTGCCATGCACCCCTTTGTATTAGGAGCTATTCGCTACTTGATTTGGACTGTCTGGCGTTGGGCGTGGGGGTGGGGGGATGGTAGAGATTGTGTGGGACGGGCGGTTCGAGTCTTGCCTGGGCTTGGGCGGCAGGGAGAGGAAGGACTGGTAGGGGCTCGAAGGACAGCCAGGGAGGGAAATGTGGACGGCCTGGGCAGCGGCCACCGGCACTCGCGTCCAGGATAGACCCAATTAAACTGCAGTAAAACCCAGAGAAAGGTTTGGGACTTGCTTGTGCCTCCCGTCTCCCTTAGCGCGCTTGCGGGTGCAGTGAGGAAGAGCCGGGAGGCTCCAGGTCAGAGTTTTAAGGGCCTTTTTTTTTTCCACGGGAAGGGCGCTTTAATTAATGACTGGAGGCAGGGTCTGGGAAACTTTCTGGCTCCAAACTCCCAAAGCATCCCTCGCCCGGGTGTCTAAGCAGATAGAGCTGCGTGGGGATCCGACTGCCGCACCCGCACCCTTTCTCTCCCATGCGGCCTGTCCGAGCTTTCCAGCCCCGACCCATTTCATCAAATATCTCACTGTGGGACTCGTCTCCCGAGGCCTTCCTCGACCTGGACCCAAGGAATGGCTGGGAACCCGCGCTGCCCTCCAAGCGCCTCCTGCCCAACGCAACCTTTTAGGCACTTGCATCTTTAGTCATTAAAACCTTGTTTCATTGCAACAATTCGGCTGACCTTCCAATACGCGTTGAGCGGGCATCCTGGACCGAACTACCTTAGCAGTGGGAAATTCCATAGGGGAGCATTTATTTGACCCCCTCTGGGTTTCCACACCCAAGGACGGACGCGCCCTCGGGATCGCCAGAGAGGAGAGCCTGGAGGGCCGCTCCTGGGGGATCCCAGGGCCATTTGCACCTCTAGGCACCTACTCCCCTCCCTGCCCGCTCCTCCCCTAGCCCTCTCTTCTCCTCTCATCTTTGTAAAAATGCACTCCGACTTTTCCCCGGCGGGGGCGGGGAGGCTGGCGGAGTTGGGCTAGAAGGGGGGGCTTCGCAGATAGTTGATATTCCGGGTCCAGCCGCTCTCCGCGCTCCCATTCTCTAAGCTCAGCCGGGGGGAAGTGTCGCCCCGGGCCAAACATATGCTTCTTTCCAGCGCGCTAATCCACCTTCAGCGTGGAGGCATAATTGCTCGAGTGTCCATGGATTCTCGGCGCTTTGTCCCTCGCTGGCTCCCATCAGCCCTGGCACACGCCATTTCAATCAAATCTTTTCAGAAAACTGTCTCCTTTTATCAAGTCCCAGCCCCTGCGAACGACGGGAGCATTTAACAAAACACCCTCCGTGTTCCGCCCGCCTCCCTCGGCCCTGGCGGAGCAGAGAGCTGCGATTATTGAAACAACTTTTCACTTAGTTCAGTCTCCGAGAAAGGGGGTGAGGGGGATGCAGAGAGAGAGCGAGAGCGAGCGCGAGCGCAAACGAACAACAAAAAAGCAGCATCAGCACCCCGCACCCGAAACGGGTCTTTTCTAAGCCCTTTGTGTCAGGTGTATTGGAAAGAAAGGTCAAAGGTCACCCTCAAAGAGAAGACATGTTTCATCTTTTTTTTTTTTTTCTTTGAAACCACAGAAATCGACTGCTTATGTGGAGTGTTTGGGCAGTCCAGTGGGATAAAAAGACAGGCAGAAACAAGCTCTGTGAAATGGGCCTAGCACCCAGAAGGGTCCTGTCTAGAGGATATTATTGGTGGTTTCTGACTCAAAATGCTATGACAAAAAATTCCCAGCGCTGATTTCCACGTACATATCCAATCTCTCTTTTCTTGCTGGCGACAGGCGTAAATAAAAGTTGGATCTGAAGATTTCTGCCTCGGTTAATGTGGAAGTCTCACGCACTCCTGATTTGATATTTTGGCTGAATTCCTAGCTTCAGGAGAAAAAGCTTTTAATTGATTAGGAGAAAAAGAAAGGAGGAATGATAGTGAAAAGATGGATTCTCAAAAAGATCTTAGAAGCACATAGGAAATATTTTTGACGCTGGAGAAAAAAGTCAAATGCAAAAGACTGGGCGTGAGGTTTGATTTTGTGTAGCAATTATTATGCAAATAACACACAAACAGAAGAGATTGTAGTTCCATTATGAGAACACAGCCTTGCTGCTTGTTTATAAAATGAGAACGTCAGGGTAATATACAGTTTTCTTCAAATCCACAAACGCTCCATATTGAGACTGATTTAAGTGACTTAGGTACTTTCTTCTGCAGCATTTTTTTTCCCATGATGATCAAGGGGAGGAAGGCAATGTAAATGGACATGGTTCCTTGTTCTACAGTCCTAGAGCATAGTGGGCCTTTACGGCATAAAGCTCCAGGTAGCTTCTTAATGATTCCCCTCCCTCCTCAGATGTCCAGGCTAAGGAAGACTGTGAAGGGCTTGAAAGTGATCAGTTGTTTCCTGCTCAAATGGACCCTTCAGTGCCAACCCTACCGGCCTTGGTCCACTTTCAGATTCAGATGAAATCATTGCAGTCTCCCGGATTAACTAAATGGATGAGCCAAATTCACTGCTGACATTGATGCCCAGGTGTTCAAGTCAAACCTCCATGATCACAGTTTTAAGATGTGGTTGGCAACATGCTGCCTTAAGTTCTCTAAAGTGTTCAGGCTGTGGGATGAGAAGTGATAGGACTTTGGAGCAAAGGCTGTCCTGACTCATCCTGAAAACTGGAAAATGGGGTACATTTCACAGCTCAGTAGCTTCATGTCTTAAGAACGAGAAATCACTTCATTATGGTTATAAAACAGTAAAGGATGGATAACATCCTTCAAAACCCCAACCACAAGAATTGCCAAGAGAAAGAGTGATTTTTAAATTTTTATTCATTTGCTTATATTATGATCTTTTTGTAATTACAGAATAAAAGAAAGACTCAGTAACACCAAGACCTCCTCCAGCCCTCATTTCCACATCCCTATAGTTACCTGGGGGTGAGGGTGGGAGTGGGCAATGGATTCAGAAGGAAGCAGTAATCTTCAAAGGAAAAAATAAGTTAAATACTAACCACCAGAATGGCAAGGGCTATGAGAACCCTCCGCTGGGGGAGACTATACTCAATATAATGTAGTTGTTGCATATTCTGTTTCCTACCCCCATACTCCATAGCCAGTTGAATGGAAGCACCCAAGATAATGGTTCCAAAAAGGGTAACTATTTCCATGGAATATCAGGGAGCATGGGCGTGTTGAGTCTTAACCTTGAGGATGTTGCTTCAAGTCAGAATGATCTTGGAGATTCCCATGAAGTTCAGAGACTGGGACACTGAGTGGGTTTCTCTTCTTGCAACATGAGACATGATCAGATGGTTCCAGCTTCTTGGATCCATGAGAACAAGGTGGGCTTGGGGGAGACCCATTATTAGGAGATAATGAGTTATAGGGAATCTCTAACCAGTCATGGGACTGCACCTATTAAACCATAGGTTAAAGTTCTGATGAGAAACTTCGAAAATTAAACCAGCCTCATTATTAAATGAGACCATTCTTGGAGGGATTTTTCTTTTCAAACACTCAAAGAGATGAAGGTCTCTCCAAACCTCACCTCCACCACTGCTTTCCGTCTCTGCGCTCTATAAGGTTCTGCAGCATCTTGCTAGTTTAGCTCAGGTAAAGCCAGGGGGAGAGCTGGGAGGGAAGGCTGGAGTGGCAGTCCCTGACACGCTCTGGGAAAGCCTGTGTTCCTCAGTGACATAGCTTAGAAGTGGGGAGAATCCACCTGCCTGTTCCTGCAGGGACTTTTTGCAACTAACTTGATCAGGAGATTTGAAAGGAAGGCTGGTGCTAACTGAACAGGGAGGTGCCTCGGGGAATCCTGGGACTGGAAAATCCCTTGCTATACCCTCTAGTATAACTCCCAGCCCTTGGAAATTAGTGCCATTTCAAGAGAATCAAGTCACTGGCCTGTGACTGCGATGCTGGGCTACTTAGGAAAACCATCTCAATTGGTGTTACTAAGTTTGAAGAAAGCTCTTCTAAGGAGAGGAATCTAGAAACAAGAGTTGAGAGAGCCCTCTTGAATTTCCCTCCTACCCATCATCTCCCCTCCTCCCCTTACTGAGCATTTTGGCTGAACTTACTGTTTCTTTGTTTTTCCCTCTTTGCTGAGAAAACTTTAAGAACCTTCTACTCGGCTTAGATTTAACCACAACCTTTACTGAATCTGGCTTATGAAAACCAGACTTCTCTAAGAGACGGGTCTTCTGGCAGCAATTAGTCTGACTTTTCTTTAACAAAATTCTTTGTAATGCCATTCAGAAAACAGGTCGGTTGGTAGGAGTTTGTGGCACAGAGTGCGTATGTGTGTGGGTGAGTACAGGAGGGAGTAGTTGGGGTGGGAGGATGATGTTACAGAGGGCCAATTTGTATGATTTGGTGGAAAAAAAGTTCCAATGTTAACACATTAACTTTGGGAGCTGTGAAATATTTAATTAGTGCACGGGTTGGGATCCTATTAAAACTGGCTCTATTTCTGAAGGCTGCCCTGAAAATCTGCTTGTCCCTTTTTCTATGTGCAAAGTGTAAAACAGCATTGCCATCTCTCCTTGCCACGGAATTATTTCAAACGGTTTACTACAGCAGTTTGTCTTTACATGCAGAGCTGCCTAGAACAAACAAAAGAAAGATCCAATGAGTGAATTTTCCAATGTAGAGGATTCCAGGGGTAGATATGAGGGAAGGGAGAGAGAACTTGGAGGAGTAAGGAAACAATACTGTCATCAGCCCAGAAGCAGCTTCTCAGTTTCTGACTCCTGGGGCAGCAGCATAGCCCTAGAGATGCCCTCCTCCTCCCCACATGTATTTAAAAATCCAACCCCACAACACACACACAACAAACAAGAGACCTATTCATTGAGTCTGCAAAGCCACCTTCTTCTCGTGGTTATGCAAATACTAAATTGAATCAACCAGCTATAACTGTTCAGTCCATTGCTGAAATATGATAGAAAAAAAGTTGAGTATTCCGAGGAAATTGATTCCAACAGTTCATTTTCAGTTAGTGTGGATGTCTGTGTGTCTGAAGGTGGAGACACAAACACATTTTTTTTTTGTTAAAGTTGAGGCTGCCATTCTGAAAAGCAGCCTACAATTTTACATTCCCCCTCTGCTTTCTCTCCTGGGGAGGTAAGAATTTGAGCCATTTGAGATGCAATGCAGCAAACTCTGGGCAGCCCATCCCTGGGGGAGAGGACTCCTCCCTGAACTCCCTCCTCCTCCTCCTCCTGGTTTCCTTTCCTTGACAGGACCCGAGGTCCAGTTGAATTGAGAGCCCACCCCAGGCGGGAAGACAGCCAGCTCCTGCATTCAATTCTGCCTGTAGGAAGCAAGGGTTGTGGAGACGGCCGGCGACCCCGCTGGGAGCAAACACAGGCTCCCCTTGGCTTTCAGACCTGGGGCGCAAGGACTTTCTTTAGGCTACGGAGAGATCTGTGTCTTGTTCTGGAAAACCCAGGGCGTTCCCTCCCTTCTCTAGGCCTCTGGAGTAGCTGATTTAGCAAACGTATGGACAGCCATGCCAGCAGTACCTCAGTTTCCCTAATGCGGAGACCAAGGAGGGAAGTTTTTGAGAAGACCTGGGACACGCTTGTTTCTCGGGAAATCAACGTGGGGGCCGGCAGGAGGAGGGAGATCAGTCTCTTCCCTGTAGTCCAAGGTGGTGTTTCCTGGCGCGGGACCCTGGGCAGTCCCAGTAATCCAATCCCAGCCCAGAACAATCAGGGCAAGACGCGGCGCAAGCTCTCCGCCACCATCTCCATTTTACACATTGTCAAAAAAAAAAAAAAAAAAAAATCCAATCTTTCTGCACACCCAATACATCATTTCAATAAGAATGACTTCACTTTAATAAAGATTTAATACGTTAAATCTGTCTTTGTCGCTGATTGATGCTCCTTTGTCTTGAAAACGATTTGGGTTTTACTGATCAGGAATTCTGGGGGGAATGCTGTGATTCGGAGTCGAGGGTAGCTATTACTGTTTGATAACACTTCCCGAAGAGGAAAACACCCCCATGTACGCGCTGACACGCACACGCGCTCACACGCTCAGAGGCCTGCTGGCTCCTTCTCCTTGGGCTTTCCGGCGTGGAAACCTAGCAAGCTTTCCTGAACTGCCCGGGACGTGGCGGCCGGGGAGCGCGAGGACCGGAGGGGGCGCGGGCTGGGAGGGGTGGGATGTGGAGCCCAGCGTCTGTCGGAGAATCATTTGCCCTGAATCGCAAATTTTCACGGCTTAAAAAGAAAAGGTAAAGCTAATGTCTGGCTCAATTAATAAACATGGTAATTTCACACCCGGAGAAGGACATAATTTCATCCGAGCGCTATCGGCGCCATCACAAAGGGTCAGGGCGCAGCTGCGGCGAACCCGGGTCATTACGGAGTCGCGGAGCGGCTCCCGCGCCCCGGCCCGGCGCGCGCCTCGAGGCGAGGAATGGCTGCGGGCGAGGCCGGGGCTTCCCCCGATAAAGGACTTACCCACCGTGCGGGAAATGGAGCCGCTTTCAGACGGGGAGTAATCAGCTCGCAGACGTAGCGCCCGCCACGGCTCCCCCTCCTTCCCCCTTCCCTATTTACTTTTAAAAATAAAAGATGAAACAAGCAAATACCATCTCCCCATCATCTCAGTCTTTCTCTTCCCTTCTTACGTCTTTTTAAACAAAACCACGACCAACGCAATATGCAGAAGCACATATACCTATTTTTATTTTTTAGAGGTTGTCTTTGATTCGCTGTCAATAGAAACCTATGGTATTTGTAAATTTCAGGACAGTTGTAGTTGATAAATTTCTGGTGTCAAGACTTGGGGCCAGGAGCTGGGAGACAAGATATTAGCTTCAATTTCATAATCTCTTAATCACATTACACTTTAAGTGAGAATGTGTAATTTCACCCATCAATGATTTATTTAAGCATTTGCAGCACAATTACTTGTCTCATACACAAACAGTGACTGGAGCATTGTTTGCTAGAAAGACACCCTGAGATTTGGGAAACAGATCATATCTTTTCCGTTCCATTACGTGCCCCACCTCGGAATAAAAATTCATCTGTAATCGGGACCCGCAGGGGCAGTCTCCTCAAAGGAAAGGGTCCCAAAGGCAAACCCACCCGAATCACAAGAGGGGCGCCCCTCCCCCCTTCTCTGGGTTCAGATTTTTAAGCAGATCTTCAAAGCTAAAATAAATGCCCATTAAATAGCCACATGCAAATAGAATGGAGCCGGGCAGCTAAACACACAAAGCCCATCTCACATAAAACAAAAGCATGATTGATGGCATCCCGGATGCTCGTGTGTTTGGAAAAAAAATTATACTTGTCCAGTCTCCCAGTTGTCTAAATTATTGAATAGCGATGTGCATATTTCAACGGGAGAAGGTGGCTAGGTTAGAGACCCACGGTCGGCACGAGGAACGCCACAGTGTGGTATATTTGGGCTGGGAAAGGCTCCCGTGCAAAGAATTTTAACACATTCTTCTCTGGGCGGCCGAGGAGGCCACGCTAACCTGACAGCTCTGGAGCAAACGGTTAGAGAAAATGGATCGCTTTCCTCGGCCCAGGATCCCCCACAGCCCCACCCCGTCCCGGCCCGGGGCGGCGTGTCCCTCGGTAAGGCTGACCGCGACGCCACACACCCCGCCTAGGCTGCAGAGGGCGGCGGGCAGGGCCTGGGTGGTGCAGCCTCTGGGCGGGGCCTGCGCAGCAGGCGGTGCTGATTCCGCGGTGCCCAGCCCAGGCGGGAATATCCACCCGCGACGTGGCTGGGAGCGTGGGTAGCTGAGCTGAGTCTGGGGTTTGCTTCGTCAGCAGGGCCCAGGGTGCTCAGTCCCCGAGGGAGGCGCCGGGGGAGTCGGCCTTTGTTCTGGCACTTTCAGGGCCTAGGAGTTAGGCAACTCTGGGGAGGTGCGAGGGGACGCTCCGTCGGGCGGGGGAGGCCTGTACAGTGAGGGCCGCGCTCTGAACTCGAGGCACGGCTAGGGGAGAACGTGCAGGAACCTGGCAGCTCTTGGGGATTTACTGAAGCAGAGTGTGGTAAAGTAAGTGGAAACTGAGGGAACTTTGCAGTATCTCACTTTAAATCTAAAAGGAAACATTTGAAAATAAACAATAATCTGTTCTCTCATTCTCTCTTCATCTTTGTCTTTTTCTCTGAGCTCTTCCTTGTCCCTCTAATGCCGTTTCTCCTCTATTTCTGTCTATTCTCAACTTTACAGCCCATCTCTCCAGTGTATCTTTTTTTTCTCCCTCCCTTTCTCCGCCCCTCTCTCTGCCTTTATAAATATGCTAAAGAGGAAAACAACCTCGGCAATTCATGCTCGTAGCCACACGGAGAGTGGATCTGTTATGCGGGGATCAGGCGTGACCGCCTGTTATCCGCCAGGGCACCCCCGGCGCCCCCTTTCTTGCTGGGCTGCGGGGAAGACACGCGTGGGCCCCTATAGTGTCCTACGCATGGGGAGAAGCCAGTTTTCCCCACGCATCAAATCCTAACTTCAAACTTGAATCCATCTTGCTGCTCAAGAGTCAAGCTCGGTGGATTCATAATAGCAACGACAAAGAGTAATTACATATTAGAAAACAAAACAATAATTACACTACCAAGTTGACACACCAGTCAGCGAAGCACAGTCGCTTGGGCTGGAAACACCAAAGCCCGCGGCGCCCGCGGCTGACTCAGCAAATCGGAAAAGCCCCCAGCCCACGCCCACGCCGGTCCAAGCCGGACAGCTGATGCGCCCCTGCCCCTGCCGCAGTCACCTGCTAACAGGCCTTCGAAGTCTCCCTTAATAAGATGTGATTTGGGAGCTGTCTGGCAGAAAAGCATCTCACAAGTACCATAGAACCTGTTTCTTGGAGAGATGTTTTGTTTTTTAATCAAAATGGACACCCAGATTCTTGAGTTTGAACTCTTGTTTTACATATTCACATTTAGAATAGAAAAAGCTGGTCTTTCTGCATGTTCATTTCTCCCAGCACCTGTCACTCGGTTCCTGGTTACTTTATGGAGCCCTCAGGCAGGAGTCCTCGGGTTTCCTCTTTCTCCCCCTAAGAGTCAAGGCGGCAGGGGCGTTTTTTAACTTCCTAGGTGGGGATGGGGTTAGAGGGGAAGGAGGTTAGAGGCTGGTGATTGGCCTGGGTGATTGGGCTTGGGACCCAGCGAGAAGAGCGTGTCCCTAACCTAGGCCCCTCGCAATCGCTGCCACATCCCCGGTTCCTTTGGACTGGCGGTCGGGGAGGCTCCCTTTTCGGGCATTGTTCCCCCTGACCCCCTTCAGGGGCTCCAGCGCGTCCCCGGGGTCTTCCCAGGGCCCGGGCCTGGACGGTGGATTAGAGATGGGGACGGCTGGCGAGTGTCTGGGGGCGGCTGGCGAGTCTCTGGGGGCGACACCCGTCCGGACTGCGCAGCTCGCTGCTCACTGAGGCGGACTCCGCTTGCCGTCCCGGTGTGAAAGCAAACACATTCTGTTTGGGCCAGGAGCCCGCGGCTGGAAGATGCAACTGAGCTGGAAACACCAGGCCTCCGTCTGGGAAAGATTGAGCCGGAACCTCTATTCGGGCCTCTCCTCTCGCTTCCCCCAGGCCTGTCTTCCCAGGGTTGAAGCCCGCCCCAAAGGCAAGGTGGGTTGAGCGGAGGGCGCCAGTGCGCTTGTGCCAAGGGGGCGTCGAAGGACAAGAGCCTATCTTGGGACTGTGCCTCGAAAGGCGCTAGCAGGCCGCGCACCCTGGGCCTGGGAAAAAGCCCAGAGCGTCCTCTCAGGCCCCAGATAGGAGGAGTGCTCAGGCTCGGGGACCTGCCGCAGGCTGCCCTTAGCCGGCGATGCCATCTGCAGGCTGCGAAGTAATCGGATTTGGCCAAGAAGGGGAAAGGCCGCAGCGACCCACGGTGGGCACCTGGGCTTTGGGGAGGGTGGAAAGCCGGCGGGGACAGCCAGGAAAGCGCGCGGGGCCCAGCGCCCTCTAGGGCACACAAGCCCCTCGCTGGGTGGACGGCTCTCCTTTCATCCCCCAGGGCTTAGGGAAGGACAAAGGACCTATAAAAAAAATCTAACAACAAAAAAAATATCAGCTTGACCCCCAAAAGAACACTGTTTAATGAGGTGGAAAATTCTTCCACACAAATTGCTTTTTCTACTACTTTATGAGAGTTCATAAATGTTAATGAAATCCAGTTACCAAAAAGTAACATACATCATTGCAGCTGAAGGGAGGCAGAGGAAGGAAGGTGGTGGTTAACGTACAATCATAATTAAAATAACAGCAGCGGCAGCAACAATGCTGCCCATGGCTAATGTGGTTGGAGGCTCAGTCCAGAGCCGCACCATTGTATCCGATCTGGGTTGGCCACCGGTGTTTCCCTGGACAAGAACAACAGTGGCAGCAATGGCACAACGACAAATGTAGAAGTGCAGGAGCCGGTGGGTCAGAGTGGAAATAAAATCACAAAACGCTCCTGTTTCTTTTCTTTTGAAATAGAAAGCTTGTTACAGACTCAAACTTCTTCAAAATCTATGCAGAAAGAAGAGCCCAAGGCAATGCCTGGGAGAAGCGGAGGGGAGGGGCAAGCTCATTGTCCTCCACACCTGCCCTATATGTTTGCTTTTTCCTTCCTCTCTGCATATCAGAGGTACACTCCTATAGCAGGTGATCTTATTCTGACAGTTTTTTTTTTTTTTTTTTGAGACGAGAGTTTCACTCTGTTGCCCAGGCTGGAGTGCAGGGGCACGATCTTGGCTCACCGCAACCTCCACCTCCAAGGTTCAAGAGATTTTCCCGCCTCAGCCTCCTGAGTAGCTGGGATTACAGGTTACTGCCACCACGCCCAGCTAATTTTTGTATTTTTACTAGAGATGGGGTTTCACCGTGTTGGCCAGGCTGTTCTCAAACTCCTGACCTCAGGTGATCCACCCGCCTTGGCCTCCCAAAGTACTGGGATTACATGCATGAGCCACCACACCGGGCCTTCTTCTGACATTTCTATGCCCAGCACCCAGCCCAGAGTTGGCACATAGTAGGTGCTTAATAGGTGTGTATTGAATAAGTGAATGATTGAATGGAACAACAGCAGAAAATTACTCAATGAACAATCTCCTTGATAATATCTGAAGATGAATTAAGATGCTCAAGCACACGCCTGTAAACCCAGCACTTTGGGAGGCTGAGGCGGGCAGATCACGAGGTTAGGAGATCGAGACCATCCTGGCTAACATGGTGAAACCCCGTCTCTACTAAAAATACAAAAAATTAGCCGGGTGTGGTGGTGGGCGCCTGTAGTCCCAGCTACTCGGGAGGCTGAGGCAGGAGAATGGCGTGAACCCGGGAGGCGGAGCTTGCAGTGAGCCAAGATTGCGCCCCTGCACTCCAGCCTGGGAGACAGAGCGAGATTCCGTCTCTAAAAAAAAAAAAAAAAAAAAAAAAAAAAAAAAAAAAGATGCTCAAGCACTCAATATTTTCAATATTCACCAAACATTTTCTGATAACATACTATGTGTCAGGAACTGTTCCAGGCCCTGAGGATACAGTAAGCAAACAAAACAGACAGAAACCCATCTTCTTATGAAGCTAATATTTTGAATTGTCCTGTTTTGGCTGATGTATTATTTTACATGGCTGGGCAAATGGCCTCTTACCTAACTTTGGGAAAATGACTGTTACCCTCCAGATTCCTCTTTATGAAATGGAGTTGAGGAAAGGAGATGCGAAGTCTATTGATGAAAGTCATATAAAGAATATGGTTTTAAGGAAGATGTTTTATATTTCCTTAATGGGATCATTTCTCTATGTCTTTATTTGTTACGAGTCAAAAATATATATATTTTTTGTAAATAGCTAGGACAATTTGAATATTTTTCTTTTGCCCTTGAGAGCTGCTGGAATTGAATCATTTTAGCTTTGCACATATTGCTTAATATTTTATGTAATCTAAATACAAGTGCTTTCTTTCTTTTTTTTTTTTTTTTTTTTTTTTTTTTTTTGAGACGGAGTCTCCCTCTGTCACCCAGGCTGGAGTGCAACGGCACGATCTCGGCTCACTGCAACCTCCGCCTCCCGGGTTCAAGAGATTCTCCTGCTTCAGCCTCCTGAGTAGCTGGGATTACAGGCGCGCACCACCACTCCCGGCTACTTTTTGTATTTTTAATAGAGATGGGGTTTCACCATGTTGGTAAGGCAGGTCTCGAACTCCTGACATCGTGATCCACCTGCCTTGGCCTCCCAAAGTGCTGGGATTACAGGCGTGAGCCACCGCGCCCGGTCACAAGTACTTTCTTAACAAAATAGGGAATAAAAAAATAAATACAAGTACTAATACTAATAACTATTTTTTTTTTTTAGCTATTATCTTTTGCCAGTTACTGCACTCAGTGCCACATAGGCTTTACCTCATTTAAACTCTTGGCAACCCTTTGAGATACGTGCTGTTTTTCCTATCTTTATTTTTTAAATGAGGGAAACAAGGTTGAGAGCAGGTAAGTGTTGGGGCTTAGGCCACCAGTGAGTAATCGGCAGTGCCTCATCTGGAACTCAGGTATCTGTTACACTAGAATGAAGAGCCTACGACCCTAGGAGTTCCAGTCATTTGCCTTCAGCTTTCTTGTCTATAAAATGCAGTTAATACCCATCTAGTCTATATTGTTCACGGTGTGGTGAAATTAAAATTCCATTTATTTATGAAAACACTTTGCAAATGTTAGAATGCTGCATGAATATACTATTGTTTTTGTTGTTATTATTATTATATGCTGTTTCTTATCTGTAATTGTTAGTAGCTACAATAACCTACTCTGCAGCAGCAACCACTGAAATTGATTGAACTTTGGCTGAGTGATTGTTTTGGAACATGAGCGGTGATGGATCTGTTGAGAATGAGACAGAGAGACTCCTGGTTTAATGGAGGAAATACTGTTGGAGAAGATTTGGCTGTTCCCACTGAGTCTCCCTGCATCCTGTGGGATCTCAGGGTCTGGCAGGAGTGGGTTTCTGGCATCCCCCACCACCATCTTCTTTAGGGATATCCTTCCTCCTAATTGCAGGGTGCCCTGTTCTGCCTTGCCTGGACCATTAGCCCTGCTCTCGGCCATCACTCTAGGCAGCCAGTCCAGGCACAACAGTGAGAAAGGTTAAGTGTTCATTTTTGTAAGTAAACTTACAATGCTGCTTTGAGACAACATAATTACTACTTCCTACACCCTATTGTATCTGGTAGAGAAATGGTCACAAAGACATCAAACAAACATCAAATCTCTGTCACTGCCTCCTGCACCTGTTATCCTCCAAAAAGTGGGCAAGACTTTGTGGATGTTTGGAAACCTAGTGCCATTTCACAGTAGTCACTTGTCTGAGGCAACACCTGCAGATGCCTTTACTGTTTGAACCTCAGATCAGTTAGTCAAGGAATGAAGAGGCAGAGCTATTAAGAACATACTGGCTTCTGGATTGTGCCAATCAATCTTTATATTTCATTTATTCATCTGTTCATTCATTTATTCAATGCTTTTGAGCTCTTTTCTAGGAAGTAAAAAAAAATCCCATTGAGAATTTTATTGCCTGGTGGGAGGCAGACGAATACAAATATAATTACAGAACAGTGAAGTAAGTTCCAATAAAAGATTTATACACAGAGTAGGGCTGGACTGGTTACTCATTTTGATATACGGAATTAGGCCACAGCATGCATTCTCAACTGGGGTGATATTGTCTTCAAGAGGGCAAAAATTGGTTCCTGGGAGATGAAACAAATCTCAGATGTTACAATGGTCTGTGGTCCTTCAAACTAACCCTACCTGACAAAATGTAACTCCTTCGTATTCAATTTCTCTTGTTAGACTTTATATTGAGGGAGTGATAATAGTGAGAAATTGAGAACCACTGGGCTAGGTAGGAGAACTTGACTCACTAACTCAGGCTGAGTGTGCTTAAGACTACTAGTTAAGGCTGGGCGCAGTGGCTCACGCCTGTAATTCTAGCACTTTGGGAGGCTGAGGCGGGGGGATCACCTGAGGTGAGGGGTTCGAGACCAGTCTGGTTAACATGGTGAAACCTGGTCTCTACTAAAAATACAAAAATTAGACAGAAGTGGTCATGTATGCCTGTAATCCCAGCTACTCAGGAGGCTGAGGCAGAATTGCTGGAACCAGGGAGGCGGAGGCTGCAGTGAGCTGAGATCTCGCCACTGCACACCAGCCTGGGTGACAGCAAGACTCTGTCTCAAAAACAAACAAACAAACAAACAAATAAAAACCACTACTAGTTTAGCTATCATGGCTGACTTGCTCAGTTGGTTAAAAAGCAGCAACTGGCCTGGCGCGGTGGCTCACGCCTGTAATCCCAGCACTTTGGGAGGCCGAGGTGGGTGGATCACGAAGTCAGGAGATCGAGACCATCCTGGTTAACACAGTGAAACCCTGTCTCTACTAAAAATACAGAAAATTAGCCGGGCGTGGTGGCGGGCACCTGTAGTCCCAGCTCCTTGGGAGGCCGAGGCAGGAGAATGGCGTGAACCCAGGAGGCGGAGCTTGCAGTGAGCCGAGATCACGCCACTGCACTCCAGCCTGGGCGACACAGCGAGACTCTGTGTCAAAAAAAAAAAAAAAAAAAAAGCAGCAACTACTTTGGCTGCTTTGTCCAAAAATCTGTTATTATTTTACCGATTAAAAAAATCCCCCTGATTCTTGGCTTGATGTAGGGAAACCCCACACCCGGTGCCTCATAAAACAGGGAAGTGAATTCTCAAATATTCCTTTAGTTCCCTCAGAAATTAGTTAACCCTGAAGAAGCATGGAAAACCAACGTTTGGCCTCAGTTTCCCTGCTTCAAAACAAAGCTGCTAGATAAAACGACACCTCTAGAAGGGTGAGCTTTTGGACAGATGAATTTCCATATTATTAATTACAAGTTAAGAATATGTTGATTTATTGTTGATTTTCCAATCATGTTTCCTTTTATTTATGCAGAGGTTAAGATATCTACTTTTAAAACACAGAGAAAGCAATAAAATCCCTTCACAAGGTTGTCCGTAATTTATTCTTTTGGTTTGCAGTTTTTATCCTTTGGACTAACTGTAATTACCACTTCTATATCTTGCCCAAAGCTTAACCTAAGAAATTGCTGAGCCCAAGATCTGAAAATTTAGAGACAGCTTTGGAAGGAATTTTTCACTATATAAAGACATTTAAACAGTAGAACATAAGACAAGTTGGAAAATATACTAATAGACTCTAACAATCGAGAAAGCAGAAATGATCATAATTACTAAACGAGCGAGTGAAGAGGGGAAGGAAAGGTGGCTTGAGGGAGAAAAGGGGATGAAAATGGTCACAAAAATAGCTTTACCTGAAATGGCCTCATTTACAAAGAATAGTAGAGCCCCCTCTTCCCCCTTCCACCAAAATTTGAAAAATAAAAAGCACTGCCACCCACAAAGACACCCTGGGTAGTCCTAAGGAGCCAGTGAGCACATTAGGGTATGCTAGCAGAAAATCTGGCTTGGGACTCATTGCCAACAAAGGGCAAAGCCCAGTCAGCTGGAGTTAGTGACTTCCCAAAACAGGGCTAAGGCGGCGGGGGTGGGAACCAAACCACAGTAATTCTCAAATAGCATTTCATTCCATCTGGGGCAGAAGGCCCTGTCTGGGGCCATGGGTAGATATAAACCTTTATATATAAACCCTTCTTGTGTGAAGTAGCCGCTTGTCCAGTTACATACCATAGTCACATAGACAGGGACACAAAAGCCATTTGTTAATGCTTCAGACAAGGCTGTAGGGGAAGCATGAGAAGGTTGACCCACATTCCTGAGCGAATGTAACAAACAATTCTTCTCATTCACACCATATGAGTATTGACTGTTTTATTGTAGTCTTGTTATTGTGGCTGTTATTCCTTTAATGACACCATTTCCAAAAGTTTAAAAGTTGACTGCTAACATTTGCTTCGCTCTAAATCTTGGTGCTCAAGTTTTGGGTGTGTGTGTGTGTGTGTGTGTGTGTGCGTGTAAAGAGGCAATTTTGTGAAAAGGAAACTAGTTTTTAAACTCTCAAATATTTCTATCTTTTCATCTACAACATTAGATATCTTCAAGGAAATAACCCCCACTCTAAAGTAAAGATGGACATGCTTGGAGTTGGCTGTGGTTTAGTGGAAAGAGGAGTGGGTTTGGAGGCTGAGGAACTGGCAGTGTTGTGTTGTGGGTGAGCCACTTACAATGGGTATACTTCCATTTCCTCATCTGTAAAATGACCATTGTAATACACACACACACACACACATACACACACACACACACACACACACAGAGAGACCATGGGGATTTTGGGTGGATTAGGTGAAATAAAGGCTACCATAAAACTACAGAGTGCTGGCCGGGCACGGTGGCTCATGCCTATAATCCCAGCACTTTGGGAGGCCTAGGCATGCAGATCATGAGGTCAGGAGATCGAGAACCAGGGTGAAACCCCGTCTCTACTAAAAATACAAAAAATTAGCCGGGCGTGGTGGCGGACACCTGTAGTCCCAGCTACTCAGGAGACTGAGGCAGGAGAATGGCGTGAACCCGGAAGGCGGAGCGTGCAGTGAGCCGAGATTGTGCCACGGCACTCCAGCCTGGGCGACAGAGCGAGACTCCGTCTCAAAACAAAACAAAACAAAACAAACAAACAAAAAACTGCAGAGTGCTTTGACAATGTAAAGTGGTTTTATAATCAGGCTGGAAATGAGCTAACACCAAGACTTTCCCTCTGAGAGCCTCATACCCAGGTATTCTTCCCTCCAGTCCGTTTGCCACACTGGGTTAATGCTGAGTATTTCATTGTGGCCTAGAATTATATTCCTAAACATGAGTCCACTTATATAAGTTGCCTCCTCGAAAAACTGCAGCAGTCCTTCTTTTGTAAAAATTAACCTCCTCTTAGCCTGGCAGGTAAGCTCTTCCCCAATCCTACCCCAAACTGCCCTTCTAGACTTTTGTTCCATTAAATTCCTGCAAACACCCTGTGCTTTGGCTGCTCCAGGCTTCCTGCTTTGCCTTGAACATGTCAGGAACTTACAGGACTCCTGACCTTTGCTCAGCCTAGAATGCCATTCCTCTCACTCAGAAAACAAAAAAAACTTTCTTACCCTCTAAATCCCAGCTTACAAATTCATCTCATAAAGCATCTCTAATCTCCCCAGTCAGAAGCAATTGTCTCTTCTCCTGACTTTTTATCGCATATTTCTTGTAACTTTATTTAACCCTGCTATAACTCTGTTTAACCTCTGCTGCTGTGATCCTGGCATCATCATCATTATTTATCGAACATCCTTTATAATAAAGTTAATAAATGTAATGTTGTTCATGCTTCAGCTACAATGAGGCCCTGTTTAATAAAGCATGGGGAAAAATTCTCATTCTGTTTTGTGTTGGGTTAGTTGTTTATGTCTGTTTCCTTTACTGGGTGGGATGACAAGTTTATTGAGGGTGGGGCCTATGCTTTATTTATATCTGTGTTCTCCGTAGTGACTGGCAGGGGATCTTGCATCTAAAGTAACTAAAATAAAATTAAGTTAATCAGATACATTTTGTGAAGGTTTAGATCTCTTGGCTGGAAAAATGTTAAACAAGAGACAGTAATCAAAGGAGATTTGGAAATGGGTGCATTTAGAGAGAAAAATGTGTTCTTAAAAAGCAGTGACTAAATTCGGTCTCCTGATTTTTTCATTTCAATAGATCTTTTTAAAGAAAACCAAGTGTTGAATTTCTCTGTCAGTGAAGACTTTGTGCTGAGTTTTCATGATGGGTTTTCTGTGAGCAGAGAGTCCTCATCAGCCTTCCCACTTCCCTGAAACCCCCCAAAACTCTAAATTTTTGCCAGCAAACACATTAACTGTTCTTTCATTCTGACAAAGCAAATCCTCCAGAATTTTGCAGTAGAAATATCAGCCACTTCGTGGATGATGGCTTTTTCGCCCTGAAATCTCCTATGGCTTTCTAAGTGAATGGGTGTCATCTGAATTAATGATGGCGCTGTTAGGTTTTATTGATTAGTTAATAAATGCTGGGGAGGGGAATCCTGGGTGATAAGTATTTGCTCCTTCCTATATTTGCTGGAGAGAAACTAAACCCAAAATGAAGGATGCTTTGTGCCAGTTGTGTTAAAGTGACTGTGTCCGTGGGATCCCACTATGACTGTCCCAAGGTAATAAAAATATCAGGGCTTGGGCCAGGTGCAGTGGCTCATGCCTATAATCCCAAAACTTTAGGAGGCTGAGGCAGGAGGATCACGAGGTCAGGTGATCGAGACCATACTGGCCAACATGGTGAAACTTCATCTCTATTAAAAATAAAAAAAATAAAAAAATTAGCTGGACGTGATGGTGCACGCCTGTAGTCCCAGCTACTCGGGAGGCTGAGGCAGGAGAATTGCTTGAGCCCAGGAGGTGGAGGTTGCGCCACTGCACTCCAACCTGGCGACAGAGTGAGACTCCGTCTCAAAAAAAATAAAAATAAAAAGATCAGGGCTTGTGTAAACACGCGTATATTTATCTTGCATATTTTTTACTTTCCTTTTGTATGCTGGGAACGTTCTAAAAGTAAAGTCAACCCCAAAGCAAGCACACCCAAGTGCAGGCAGAATTTTCCACAATAGGGTTTCAGAATACAGCCTGAACACAGAACGTCCCTTTTCCAACCATGCACTCATTTGTGATGGCAGTCTTTTAAAATTTTAAATGTTATGCATTTCTTTTCTGCACATGGCATGAAAAAATAAAACAGTGTAAAAGGAAACCCTGCAAAAAATTTCCGCACCCTGTTTATTACAAGTTGGATGGTGTCTCCCCAAAAGATAGGTTGAAGTCCTAACCCCCAATGCCTCAGAATGCAACCTGATTTGGAAATTGGGTTGTTGCAGATCTAATTAGTTAAGCCAGGGTCATACTTGAGTCGGGGGTCCTTGATGCAATACGACTGCTGTCCTTACACGAAGGGTGGAATTTGGACACAGACCTGTTAAAGACAGAGGCAGGGAGTAGAGTGATGCACCTGCAAGCCAAGGAGCCCCAATGACTGCCAGCTCCCCCCCACCACCAGAAGTTAGGAAGAGACAAGGAGGGAATCCACCCAGAGTTTTAGAGGGAGCATGACACCTTGTTTTTGGTCTTCTAGGCTCTAGAACTGTAAAATAATAATTCTTTTTTTGTTGTTTTGTTTTGTTTAGAGACAGGGTTTCCTCTGTTGCCCAGGCTGGAGTGCAGGGGTGGGATCATAGCTCACTGCACTTTTTTTTTTTGAGTCAGAGTTTCGCTCTTGTTGCCCAGGCTGGAATGCAATGGCACGATTATGTCTCACTGCAACCTCTGCCTCCCAGGTTCAAGCGATTCTCCTGCCTCAGCCTCCCGACTAGCTGGGATTACAGGTGCCCACCACCACGCCCAGCTAATTTTTGTATTTTTAGTAGAGACCAGGTTTCACCATGTTGGCCAGGCTGGTCTTGAACTCCTAACCTCAGGTGAACCACCCACCTTGGCCTCTCAAATTGCTGGGATTACAGTCATGACCCCCCGTGCCCACTTTTGAACTCCTGGGCTGAAGCAATCCTCCCACTTTGGCCTCCCAAGTAGCTGGGACTACAAGTGCATGCCACCATGCCTGACTAATTTTTCTATTTTTTAAATTGTAGAGATGGGGCCTTGTCATGTTGCCCAGGCTGGTCTTAAACTCTTGGCCTCAAGTTAGCCTCTTGCCTTGGCCTTCCAAAGCACTGGCATTACAGGCATGAGCCACTACAGCCTCCAGCCTAAATTTCTGTTGTTTTTAGTCACATGATTTGTGGCACTTGCTTATGGCAGCTGTTAAGAAACAAATACATCATTTTTCTACCTTTTGGTTTCTCTGCTCAGAGGCAATCAATGTTAATACTTCTCACGGTTATACATATATATAATATACACATATATATATAATATACACATATTTTTTTTAATTTAAAAATCAACCTGTTAGATTTTTTTTTTTTTTTGAGTCTCGCTCTGTCGCCCAGGCTGGAGTGCAGTGGCTCAGTCTTGGCTCACTGCAACCTCCGCCTCCTGGGTTCAAGCAATTCTCTGCCTCAGCCTCCCGAGTACCTGGGATTATAGGCACCCGCCACCATGCCTGGCTAATTTTTTTGTATTTTTAGTAGAGACAGGGTTTCACCATCTTGGCCAGGCTGGCCTTGAACTCCTGACCTAGTGATCCACCTGCCTTGGCCTCCCAAAGTGCTGGGATTACAGGCGTGAGCCACCATGCCCGGCCTAGATTTTTGAATAGATAATATATTCTCATGGGTCAAAAATGAAAATACACAAAACATTACACCGTCAAAAGTCTCTCTTAGTTCATCATTTATCTGCATATTTATTTATTTATTTATTGAGACATGGTCTCACTTTGTCACCCAGGCTGAAGTGCAGTGGTGCAATTATAGCTCATTACAGCCTCTAACTCTCAGGTTCAAGTGATCCTCCCACTTCAGCCTCTGGAGTAGCTGGGACCACAGGCGTGTGCCACCACGCATGGCTAATGTTTGTATTTTTTGTAGATACAAGGTCTCCCAATGTTGCCCAGGCTGGTCTTGAACTCCTGACCTGAAAAGCAATCCTCGCGCCTCAGCTTCCCAATGTGCTGGGATTATAGGCATCAGCCACCATGCCCGGCCTTACTATAAATTTTTTATTATACAAACCAAAAAAGCTTTTTTAACCTTTTGGTCCCTTTGTAGTAATACTTAGCTTAAAAAACATATTGTACAGCTATACAGTATCCTTATTCTATAAGCTTTTTAATATTTTTATAATTATTTACTTTTTTTTTTAACCTTTTAAAACATCGTTAAAAACCTTAAGACACAAACACACACATCCTAGTTCTACACAGTGTCAGGATCATCAATATCAGTATCTTCTGCCCCCACATCTTGCCGCACTGGAAGGTTTTCAGGGGAGCTGTCATCTCTTGTGGTAACAATCTCTTCTTCTGGAATCCCTCCTGAAAGACCTGCCTGGGCTGTTCCACAGTTGCCTTTTAAAAATACAAGTAGAAAGGTGCACTCTAAAATGACGATAAAAAGTATGGTACAGTAACTACATAAACCAGTAATATGGTCATTTATTATCACTATGGAGTGTTGTGAGTCATAATTGGATGTGCTCTACTTTCATATGACTGGGAGTTGAGTAGGTTTGTTTACACCAGCATCACCACAAACACATGAGTAATGAATTGCACTAAGACACTGCAATGGCGACAACGTCACTAGGCAATAGGAATTTTTCAGCTCCATTAGAATCTTATGGGACTACCATGGTATACGCAGTCTGTCATTGACTGAGCGTCATTTTTTGTCACATGACTGTACATGCTACAGATTTTTATCTTCCTCTTCATAATAGAAATCTATTATACACATTGTTCTTCACCTTGTCTTTTTGATTTGTTTTGTTTTTGAGTCTTGCTCTATCACTCAGGCTGGAGTGCAGTGGCGTGATCTCGGCTCCCTGCAACTTCCGCCTCCCAGGTTCAAGCAATTCTCCTGCCTCGGCTTCCTGAGTAGCTGGGATTACAGGCACCCACCACCACGCTCAGCTAATTTTTGTATTTTTGGTAGAGATGGGGTCTCACCATGTTGGCCAGGATGGTCTCAATCTCTTGACCTCGTGATCTGCCTGCCTCAGCCTCCCAAAGTGCTGGGATTACAGGCATGAGCCACTGCGCCCAGCCACCTTGTCTTTTATTTTATTTTTTTTCCTGACGGTAAAAGTATTTTTCCGTCATTTTCTGTTCAAAATTTCTCTAGCATGGAAACTGATGAATATAGTTTCTGCTTCATGGTTAACGAGAAAGGAAAGTGAGGCCTTCGTCAAGATCACCCTCCATCTCAGTCTCCGAATTAGGCTTACTTTCTTCTAGGTGTCTGTACTTATGGGGTCATAAGTTGTGGAAGAAATATGTCAGCCAAGGCTGGGAATGCCTAGAGCACTGCTTCTTGTGTGGGAAGATTCATGGAAACAGATTCATGGAAACCAGGGTGGCCTGAGACTGAAGCTTCCAAGCCCAAGTAGCCTCCTGGGGTTGGTGGCATGGAAAAGGGTGAGTGTAAATGGGTTGGCCTTTTGTGTCTCCATGATACCGAGGAGTCTTTATGGTCCGGTGGGGTGCTCAGAGGGAGATGGGCATCTTGATATCTGATAGCCATGCAATTCTGGTGGGCTAGAGGTTTTCTGATTTATGGAGGAATGGTTCAAGAGAGCATGAGGTTTAATTAAAAGCACTGGCTTTGAAGCTGGTTGTTTGGATTGGAATTCCTGTTAGCAGCTGGGTGACTTGCCCTTGGTACTAAACCTCTCTGTATTTCAGATTCATCATCTGCAAAACGAGGATTGTGATGAGGAGTGAAGGAAATCATTTGCTTGAGTGTGAACAGCCTGTCTGGCACTTTAATGTTAAGATGGTGATGAGAAGAGGAAGGCGAGGCGAGAGATGATAGATTGAGACCCTTGGCAGTGCTGCAGAATGAACTTAGAGAACTACTGCCTTAGACTGGGCTAAGCAGGGATTTTTTCTTTTTTCTTTTTCTGAATGGGTTAGCCTGACCTCCTTCAGCAGAGGCTGGTGGGAACTGGGGATGCATAAGATGAAAATACACGGGCCGAGGGGAATTTATGTTCATTTTGACCTCAATTAACTTATAAAACATATAAGAAATTATATGCAAATAAGTACCAATTATTTTCTGTCAGGATCTTGTGTCACTTTTTGCAGTCTTGGCATCTACATTATGCCGGGTCACTTGATCCTCAATTTTCCACGCCGGGCCATCACCCCCAATTCATTTTGTACCCACCAATTTCCTGACAGCATTGCCAGTTTCAGACTATCTTTTTATTTATTCTTTGTTCAGATCCTGACTGACCTTGTAAACTTCTTTATTGCCTAGAACTGGTAAGACAGCACTGCATAAATTAATAAAAATGTTGCCTTTTAATATATCAGCAAAATGACTGGAGAGCTGTTGAATTCATAATATGTATTCTTAGAGATTTTCAAAGCATCTCCTAGGGTTTCAGTGCACAATCCCTATTAAAGCTAAATACGATTGGAGTACATCGCCTCAAAAATCCTTACCTAACAGTTCTCCTTGGATCTCTATTAGGACAAGAGCCCTCCTCGAAATTCAGATATTTGGAAACATCAACTTGAGCAAAGAACTCTAGAAGCACAAGCAATGTTTTATTTGTCTGCTCTTCCAACAACTGTTCACAGACTCTCTACTGTGTGCCAGGCATCTCAACGACAGCTATATGAAGAAAAAGCTACTGGCATCTCTGATAAATAGAATGTATTAAAATAATATATTGTTAAAATGAGCATACACTTATATGGATGAGTGTTTTACGTTGTCAGTGTAGCGTGCTTCTATCCCATTCAAGGTCATAGTTATCAACACCATAGGTTCTAAGATGTGGAGAAACGGAGGCATTTTTATGTCAAATTCATCTTATTGATCTCAATTAACTTACAAAACATATAAGAAATTATATGCAAATAAGATGAGAGCATCTCTGAATGGGGTAGCAGAGACAACGTAAATAAAAGTTGAGCCAAGAAGCCTCTTTCTGAATAAGAATGTTGAGCCTCCTCTTGATCAATAATGTTGAATCAAGAAGAAACTGAGGCTGGCAGCAACCCTTAGCCAACTGGTGAAGGCTGAGGGGGTCTTGTATACTTCCAGGGACAGTCTACCTACGGGAAGTAAGTATTCCTGGGTAAGTTGCTCAATGAAGTTTGACTCACCTAGAACTATACTACCATCCAGCTTGTAATTCTTCAATGCCACAAGAATAAAACGGATTTTCTTAAAAAGCTTTTAAAAAGTAAAGATATTGATGTTGAAAAGATTTTTTAGGCTGGTAATATTTTGTAAAAAGGAAATGAATGTAGTCCTCTCTTTGATGTTGTTAGTGGGCCCTTACTGACTTGCAATCTCATCTTCTTTTTCTTCTGTCCACAAGATTTTTTTTCTCCCTGTGTTGACTCTTCTAAAATTTTGCCAATGAATGATATCAAATCGGCTGATCTAAAATGTTCAGAATGTCAGCTTTGGTAAAAACCTGAACTATGTTTTGATCTGAGCTTCCAGAATCTCATGTAATTTGCAGTACTCTTCAAAGGTTACCACCTGACCTTCTGATGGAAATTTGTTGCCTTATTGTTTCATCCTTGCAACTGACTTTCTTTTCTTTTCTTTACTTTTTTTTTTTTTTTTTTTTTTTTGAGACGGAGTTTCGATCTTGTTGTCCAGGCTGGAGTACAATGGTGTGATCTCGGCTCACCGCAACCTCCGCCTCCCAGGTACAAGCGATTCTCTTGCCTCAGTCTCCCGAGTAGCTGGGATTACAGGCATGCACCACCACGCCCGGCTAATTTTGAATTTTTAGTAGAGATAGGGTTTCTCCATGTTGGTCAGGCTGGTGTCGAACTCCTGACCTCAGGTGATCCACCCACCTTGGCCTTCCAAAGTGCTGGGATTAGAGGCATGAGCCACCGTGCCCAGCCATGACTTTCTTTTTTTTAAGCCACAAAACAGATCTCAATGTTATCCTTATAAAGAATACTTTTGACCACAAATGTCACTCTTTGGGGTATGACAGCAGTAACTACTTTGAAAAACCACCAAATACACTAGAAAGATGGCGGAGCAAGAGCAAAGAAAAATTCCTTTGGTTCCAGAAAATCTCCTGAAAAAGAGGAAGGCTTATCAAGCCCTCAAAGCCATTCAGGCAACTCAGGCACTTTTGGCAAAGGAGGAGCAGAGGAAAGAAAAAGGGCTCAGGTTTAAGTGACTGGAATTTTTTCTACATGATTCCTGGTGGCAGAAACGTGACAAGGTGCATCTCAGACAACTAGAAGTGAAACCTCATGCCTTGGAATTGCCAGATAAACATTCCTTGGCCTTTCTCTCTCCTTCCTTCCTTCCTTCCTCCCTCCCTCCCTTCCTTCTTTTTTTTTTTTTGAGACAGAGTCTCACTCTGTTGCCCAGGCTGGAGTGCAGTGGCACGATCTCGGCTCACTGCAACCTCCTCCTGGGTTCAAGCGATTCTCCTGCCTCAGCCTCCCCAGTAGCCGGGATTACAGGCACGCACCAGCACGCCTAGCTAATTTATGTATTTTTAGTAGAGATGGGGTTTCACCATGTTGGCCAGGCTGGTCTCAAACTCCTGACCTCAGGTGATCCTCCCACCTCGGCCTCTCAAAGTGCTGAAATTACGGGCTCCTTGGCCTTTGTTATACTCCTTGAAAGGATTAATGGTGTGAGTTACCTGTGCAGAGAACCATTGCAAGACTTCACCTGAAGAAAATTTTTAGTGGTGTCTTTGTAAAAGTTACCCGCTAGAACCTAAAAATGCTGCATATAGTGGAACCTTATGTGACCCGGGGATTTCCAAATGTGAAGTTTGTCCGGGATCTCATTCTGAAATGTCGACAAGCCACAGTCAAGAATAAGGCCATCCCTCTGACAGACAACACAGTGATTGAGGAGTACCTGGGGAAATTTGGTGTCATTTGCTTGGAAGAGCTCATTCATGAAATTGCCTTGTCCGGGAAGTATTTCCAGGAGATCTTATGGTTCTTGCACCCTTTCCACCTCTTGGTGGCCTGTCCACTGCCAAGAATAGAATGGGCTTCCTCAGGGAGATGGGCTTACCTGGCTATCAGGGTGAATGCATCAATCAGCTCATCCACCAGCTGAACTAGAGCCAGAATATCTGAAAGCACAGTGCAGGGGAAGCACGTGTTTTTGTTTTTTTTGGAATTATTATCAAGTATCTTCGGAGAAGATGATTTCCTGTTTTATCTTCAAAAATGGAAAGGAAAGTTCAAAGAAAAGACAGTAGGTTATGTTCATGGCAAGCACCTCTCATCGCAGTCCAGTTCCAAGGAAAAATTCCAGTGTTTTCTACACTGGCTGCTGCCTCATCTGAAATCAGCACATGCCATGGAGGAAGGAGTCCTGCTTTGTCGCATCTTCTATCCTAGGGTTTAATTGTTGCTGAATGAGTAACTCAAGCATTTGTACAGGCTCCCTAAGACTCCTGTAGCAATGGACAAAGCCCAGGGACATAATTGAATCTGGAGATTTCTGGGGCCTTGTTTTGAAAAGACTTGAAATGCATGTAGGAAGAAAGGCACAAAAATAAATGTTCAGGTGTCTCTGCTGTGGGAAAGAAAAAAACGCACACCAGGTTTGGGGGTTTTAGGATCTACCAACAAATCATTATCTTAAAGGTCAAGAGCCTTGATCTAAAAATCACTAGAAAAATGAGATCAATGAACCAGTAAAATGGGCCAGATTCTTTCACTGTGAATATGAACTTTCAATGTCTCACTGAAACATGAGATATTTTCTGGCTCTGTCCCTTCATGTTCTAAAAGATACGAAGTCTTTAGCACGCAGAAGGTAACCTAAAAGCCTGAACCATTGAAGAATAGTCCTGGAAGTAGCCTCCTGCCTTAAATCACAGATCACAGCTATCAATGAAGGCTTTATTCTGCACCTGAGCCTTCACTGGTAGAATGTGTTATACTCTTGTAGGCACCCAATAGTCCCATAGATTTTTTTTTAATATATATATATAAACATAGAAATTGACCCTTCTGGTGATAAAGCTTGAAACTTAATTTGTTTTATCTGAGTTCCTTTCTCAGGAAAGGATGCTCAGGCTCCTCAAAAAAAGTATCAAAGAACTGAAACTCACCAGATCACCACAATGAGATGCCAGACCCCTCATTTATCATGATTGCTACCTTGCCCCTCCCTAGTTCTTGTTTTCTTACACATTGTAACATTTCTTCCCTCCTACACAAATCTCTAGTTTTAGTAGTTTAGTTGGTCAAGGAAATGGATTTGAGACAGATTACCCATCTCCTTGGCTGCAACGCCCAATTAAAGCTTTTTTCCTGGGCAATACTATTGTCTCCACCATTGGCTTTCTCTGCGGCAAGCAACAGGGGTTTTGGAAACACAAAGAAGAAAACTTCCCAAGTGTATTGTTACAGGACTGAGTACCACGGGAGAAATGGAAAAGACAGACATCATCCCTGGATGAATCAGAAATGACATGAATCACATCGCCAAGACCTGTTGGAGGAGTTTGGGATCATGACAGATGAACTACTCAGAACCTTGGGAAACATAGATAGACGATGATGAGCCCAATTTCTCCACCTCTGGCAGAGGGCGATGGGGTTGTTACAACTTGTGCTGACAATGAGGAAAAGTCTCCCCTCCTCATCCGCCCCTCAGTGAAATTATAGCACATTTAGTTGCTGTTTTAACTGGGGGCTTCTGTGTGGTGGAAGCATTGGAAACCGCCACAGCACGTCTGTTTGCTGTGCCTTTTCCTTTTCTCTTTGCTTGTGCTGGTTTTTGTTTTTGTTTTTGTTTTTTTAGATGGAGTCTTGATCTGTCACCCAGGCTGGAGTGCAGTGGCTTAATCTCAGCTCGCTGCAACCTCCGCCTCCCAGGTTCAAGTGATTCTCCTGCCTCAGCCTCCCTAGTAGCTGAGATTACAGGCGCACGCTGCCACGCCCAGCTAATTTTTTGTATTTTAGTAGAGACAGGGTTTCACTGTGTTGCCCAGGCTGGTCGCAAACTCCTGGGCTCAGGCAATCCGCCGGCCACGGCCTCCCAAAGTGCTGGGATTACAGGCATGAGCCACCGCACCCGGCCGCAAACTGTGCTCGTTTTAAAAGATTCCTCCCAATCCATAATCTCGTACATGAATATTCCAGCATCTATTGATCTTTCCCTAGTTTGATTCTAGAACTAATGATCATGGTACCCCTCACCATGGCTGTCTGTTTTATCATGTGTGTGTCCCATCTTTTCTAGCCGGTTTGCAGTTTCTACTGGTAGAAACTATATTTAATTTAATTTTTGCTTGTTAGGTTTTCCTTTTAGGGCCTTTCCCATAGGATGAGTAAGTTAAAGAACTAATACATGTTTGATTTTTTTCTATATATCACCCTTGGAAATTCTATTTTTTTGATGATGTGAGACAGTCCCCACGTCCTCCCTTGAATGTTTTTTTGAGACTCTTTTAAAACAAAACAGAACAAAACTCATGTCCCAGTTTTTGTTTTATTTTGTTTTGTTTTGAGACAGTCTTGCCCTGTCACCCAGGCTGGAGTGCAATGGTGCCAACTTAGCTCACTGCAACCTCCACCTCCTGGGTTTAAGC